>NC_000010.11:39338450-39341685 GCF_000001405.40 Homo sapiens | reverse complement strand
CTTTCTTTTAATTGAGCAGTTTGGAAACTGTCTTTTTGTAGAATCTGCCAAGGGTTATTTGGGATCCCTATGAGGCCTATGGTGAAAAAGGAAATACCTTCACATAAAAACTAGGCAGAAGGTTTCTCAGAAACTTCTTTGTGTTGCATGCATTTATCTCACAGCATTGTACCTTCCTTTGATTGAGCAGTTTGGAAACAGTCTTTCAGCAGAATCTGCAAAGGGATATTTGTAAACCCTTTGTGGCCTATGGTGAAAAAGGGAACATCTTCACATAAAAACTAGACAGAAACTTTCTGAGAAACTTCTTTGTGTTGCGTGCATTCATCTCACAGATTTGCAACTTTCTTTTGATTGAGCAGTTTTGGAAACTGTCTTTTCGTAGAATGTGCAAAGGGATATTTGAGAGCTCTTTGTGGCCTATACTGAAGAAGGAAATATCTTCACATAAAAACTAGGCAGATGATTTCTGAGAAACTTCTTTGTGATGCATGCATTCATCTCATAGAGCTGAAACTTTCTCTTGATTGAGCAGTTTGGAAACAGTCATTTTATAGAATCTGCAAAGGGATATTTCTGAGCTGTTTGAGGAGGAATATGGTGAAAAAGGAAATATCTTCATATAAAAACTAGACAGAAGCTTTCTGAGAAACTTCTTTCATTCTTCTCACAGAGTTGAACCTTTCTTTGGGTTGAGCAGTTTGGAAACCATCTTTTTGTAGAAGCTGCAAAGGAATATTCGGGAGGTCTTTGAGGCCTACGGTGAAAAAGGAAATATCTTGACATAAAAACTAGACAGAAGCATTCTGAGAAACTTCTTTGTGATGTGTGCATTCATCTCACAGAGTTGAAGCATTCTTTTGATTGAGCAGTTTGGAAAGAGTCCTTTTGTAGAATCTGCAAAGGGATATTTGTGAGTCTTTTATTGCCTATGGTGAGATAGGATATATCTTCACACAAAAACCACACAGAAGATTTCTCAGAAGCTACTTTGTGATGTATGCTTTCATCTCACAGAGTTGAAACTTTCTTTTGATTGAGCAGTGTTGGAAACTGTCTTTTCATCGAATGTGCAAAGGGATATTTGGGAGCTCTTTGAGGCTTATGCTGAAAAAAGAAATATCTTCACATAAAAACTATGCAGAAGATTTCTGAGAAACTTCTTTGTGATGCGTGCATTCAACTCATAGAGCTGAAACTTTCTCTTGATTGAGCAGTTTGGAAACAGTCGTTTTACAGAATCTGCAAAGGGATATTTCTGAGCTGTTTGAGGAGGAATACGGTGAAAAAGGAAATATCTTCATATAAAAACTAGACAGAAGCTTTCTGAGAAACTTCTTTCTGATGTGTGCATTCTTTTTACAGAGTTGAACCTTTCTTTTGATTGAGCAGTTTGGAAACTGTCTTTTTGTGGAATCTGCAAAGGGATATTTGGGAGGCCTTTGAGGCCTATGGTGAAAAAGGAAATATCTTGACATAAAAACTAGACAGAAGCATTCTGAGACACTTCTTTGTGATGCGTGCATTCATCTCACAGAGTTGAACCATTCTTTTGATTGAGTAGTTTGGAAAGAGTCCTTTTGTAGAATCTTCAAAGCGATATTTGTGAGCCTTTTATTGCCTACGGTGAAATAGGAAATATTTTCACACAAAAACCACACAGAAAATTTCTCAGAAGCTACTTTGTGATGTATGCTTTCATCTCACAGAGTTGAAACTTTCTTTTGATTGAGCAGTTTCAAAACAGTCTTTTTGTAAAATCTGCAAATGGATATTTGGAGCACTTTGAGGCCTATGGTGAAAAAGGAAATATCTTCACATAAAAACTAGACAGAAGCATTCTGGGAAACTTCTTTGTAATGCCTGCATTCATCTCAGAGAGTTGAACCTTTCTTTTCATTGTGCAGATTGGAAACAATCTTTTTGTAGAATATGCAAAGGGATATTTGATGGTGCTTAAGGCCTAAGGTGAAAAAGGAAATGTCTTCAAGTAAATACTATACAGAACCTTTCTGAGAAATTCCTTTGTGATGCGTGAATTCATCTCACACAGTTGAATCTTTCTTTTGATTGATCAGTTTGGAAAAACTCTTTTTGTAGAATCAGCTAAAGGGATATCTCTGAACGGTTTGAGGCCTTTGGTGAAAAAGGAAATATCTTCACATAAAAACTTGGCAGAAACATTCTGGGAAATTTCTTTGTGATGTGTTCATTCACCTAACAGAATCGAAACTTCTTTTTGATTGAGCAGTTTAGAAACAGTCTTTTTTTAGAGTCTTCAAAGGGATATTTTGGAGCCCTTTGAGGCACATGGTGAAAAAGGAAATATCTTCACATAAAAATTGGACAGAAGCTTTCTGAGAAACTTCTTTGTGATGTGTGCATTCATCTCACAGAGTTCAACCTTTCTTCCAATTGGGCAGTTTGGAAACAGTCTTTTTGTGTCTACAAAAGTATATTTGTGATCAATTTGAGACCTCTGTTGAAAAAGGAAATATCTTCACATAAAAACTAGACAGAAGGCTTCTGAGAAAATACTTTGGAAAGTGTGCATTCATCTCACAGACATAAATGTTTCTTTTCACTGAGCAGACAGGAACCTCTCTTCTTGTAGAATCTGCAAAGGGATATTTGTGAGCACGTTGAGGCCTATGGTGAAAAAGAAAATATCTTCACATAAAAACTAGACAGAATATTTCAGAGAAACTCATTTGTAATGTGGCATTCGTCTCACAGAGTTGAACCCTTCTTTAGATTGAGCAGTTTGGAAACAGTCTTTTTGAGGAATCTGCAAAGGGATATTTCTGATCTCTTTGAGACCTCTGGTGAAAAAGGAAATATCTTCACATGAAAAGTTGACAGAAGGCTTCTGAAAAACTGCTTTGTCAAGTGGGCATTCATCTCACAGATGTAAAAATTTCTTTTCACTGTGCAGATTGGAAACTGTGTTCTTGTGGAACCTGCAAAGGGATATTTGTGAATGCTTTGAGGCCCATGGTGGAAAAGGAAATATTTTCATATAAAAACTAGGCAGAAGCTTTCTGAGAAACTTCTTTGTGATCTGTGCATTCATCTCACAGAGTTGAAACTTTCTTTTTATTGAGCAGTTTGGAAACAGTCTTTTTATAGAATCTCCAAAGGTATATTTCTGAGCGGTTTGAGGCCCATGGTGAAAAAGAAATATCTTCACATAAAAAGCAGACAGACGCATTCTGAGAGACTTCTTTGTGATGTG
>NC_000010.11:39254793-39338430 GCF_000001405.40 Homo sapiens | reverse complement strand
GCTTTTGTGAGAAACGCCTTTGTGATGAGTGCATTCATCTCACAGAGTTAAACATCCCTTTTGATTGAGCCGTTTGGAAACAGTCTTTTTGTAGAATCTGCAAAGGTATATTTCTGAGCAGTTTCAGGCTTATGATGGAAAAGGAAATATCTTCATATGAAAACTAGACAGAAGTTTTCTGAGAAACTTCTTTGTGTTCCACACATTCATCTCACAAAGTTGAAACATTCTTTTGATTAAGCAGTTAGGAACCAGTCTTTTAGTAGAATCTGCAAAGGGATATTTGGGAACCCTTTGAAGGCTGTGGAGAAAAAGGAAATATCTTCACATAAAAACTAGACAGAAGCTTTCTGAGAAACTTCTTTGTGATGCGTGCATTCATCTCACAGAGTTAAAGCTTTCTTTGATTGAGCAGTTTGGAAACAGTCTTTTACTAGAATCTGCAAAAGACTATTTCTGAGCAGTTTGGGGCGTATGGTGAAAAAGGGAATATCTTCACATGAAAACTAGACAGAAGCTTTCTGGGAAACTTCTTAGTGATGCGTGCATTCATCTCACAGAGTTGAAACTTTCTTTTTATTGAGCAGTTTGGAAACAGTCTTTTTGTAGAATCTCCAAAGGTATATTTCTGAGCGGTTTGAGGCCCATGGTGAAAAAGAAATATCTTCACATAAAAAGCAGACAGACGCATTCTGAGAGACTTCTTTGTGATGTGTGTATTCATCTAACGGATTTGAACCTTTCTTTTGATTGAGCAGTTTGGAAACAGTCTTTTTGTAAAATCTGCAAAGGGATATTTGTGAGCAGTTTGAGGCCAATGGTGAAAAATGAAATATCTTCACATAAAAACTACAAAGAATATTTCCGAGAAACTTCTTTGTGATGTGTCCATTCATCTCAAAGAGTTGAAATATTCTTTTGATTTAGCACTTTGGAGATAGTCTTCTTGAAGTATCTGCTATGGGGTATTTGTGAGTGCTTTGAGGCCTATGGTGAAAAAGGATATATCATCACATAAAAATTAGAAGGGAGGTTTCTGAGAAACTTGATATGTGCATTCATCTCACAGAGGTAACCATTTATTTTCATTGAGCAGACTGGAAATTCTGTTCTTGTAAAATCTGCAAAGGGATGTTTGTGAGAGTTTTGAGACTTACGGTAAAAAACGAAAAGTCTTCACATAAAAACTAGACAAAAGTTTTCTTAGAAACCGCTTTGTGATGTGTGCATCCATCTCACAGAGTTGAACCTTTCTTTTGTTTCAGCAGTTTAGAAACAGTCTTTTTGTAGAATCTGCAAAGGGATATTTGTGCATGCTTTGCGGTCTATGGTGGAAAAGAAAGTGTCTTTATATAAAAACTATACTGAAGCTTTCAGAGAATCTTCTTTGTGATGTGGGTTTTCGTCTCACAGAGTTGAACCTATCTTTTTGTTGAGCAGTTTGAAAACAGTCTTTATGTAGAATCTGCAAAGGGATATTTCTCTGGGCTTTGAGGCCTATGGTGAAAAAGAAAATATCTTGACATAAAAACTAGACAGAAGGCTTCTGAGAAACGTCTTTGAGAAGTGTTTATTCATCTCACAGAGGTCAACTTTTCTTTTGATTGAGCAGTTTGGAAACAGTCTTTTTGTAGAATATACAAGGTGTTAGTTGTGAGCACTTTTTGGCCTGTGGTGAAAAAGGCAATATCTTCCCATAAAAACTAGACAGAGGCTTTCTGGAAAAATTCGTTGTCATGTGTTCATTCACCTCTCATAGTTGAAACTTTTTTTTGATGGAGCAGTTTGGAAACAGTCTTCTTGTAGAATCTGCAAGGGTGTATGTTGGATCCCTGTGAGGCCTATGGTGAAAAAGGGAATATCTTCATATAAAAACTAGATAGAAGCTTTCCTGGAAACATCTTTGTGATGTGTGCATTCATCTCACAGAGTAGAACCTTTTTTTGATTGAGCAGATTGGAAACAGTCTTCTTGTAGAATCTGCAAAGTATATTTTTGAGCCCTTAGAGGCATATGGCAAAAACGAAATAGCTTCATGTAAAAAGTAGACAGAAGCCTTCTGAGAAACTTCTTTGTGATGGGTGCATTCATGTGACAGACTTGAACCTTTCTTTTGATTGAGCAGTTTGGAAACAGTCTTTTTGTAGGATCTGCAAAGGGATATTTGTGATCGCTTTGAGACCTCTGGTGAAAAAGGAAATATCTTCACATAAAAAGTAGACAGAAGGCTTCTGAAAAACTGCTTTGTGAAGTGTGCATTCATCTCACAGAGGTAAACTTTTCTTTTCATTGTGCAGATTGGAAATTATCTCCTTCTAGAATCTCCAAAGATATATTTGTGAGCACTTTGAAGCCTACAGTGAAAACGGAAATATCTTCACATGAAAACTATACAGAAGGTATCTGAGAATCTGTTTCTGATGTGTGCATTCATCTCTCAAAGGTGTACGTTTCTTTTCATTGAGCAGATTGGGAACTCTGTTCTTGTAGAATCTGCAAAGGGATATTTGTGAGTGCTTTCAGGACAATGTTGAAAAAGGAAATATCTTCCCATAAAAACTAGATAGAAATTTTATTTTCTTTTTTTAAATTATACTTTAAGTTTTAGGGTACATGTGCACATTCTGCAGGTTAGTTACATATGTATACATGTGTCATGCTGGTGCGCTGCACCCACTAATTCATCATCTAGCATTAGGTATATCTCCCAATGCTATCCCTCCCCCCTACCCCCACCCCACAACAGTCCCCAGAGTGTAATATTTTCCTTCCTGTGTCCATGTGATCTCATTGTTCAATTCCCACCTATGAGTGAGAATATGTGGTGTTTGGTTTTTTGTTCTTGCGATAGTTTACTGAGAATGATGATTTCCAATTTCATCCATGTCCCTACAAAGGACATGAACTCATCATTTTTTATGGCTGCATAGTATTCCATGGTGTATATGTGCCACATTTTCTTAATCCAGTCTATCATTGTTGGACATTGGGGTTGGTTCCAAGTCTTTGGTATTGTGAACAATGCCGCAATAAACATATGTGTGCATGTGTCCTTATAGCAGCATGATTTATAGTCCTTTGGGTATATACCCAGTAATGGGATGGCTGGGTCAAATGGTATTTCTAGTTCTAGATCCCTGAGGAATCTCCACACTGGCTTCCACAATGGTTGAACTAGTTTACAGTCCCACCAACAGTGTAAAAGTGTTCCTATTTCTCCAAATCCTCTCCAGCACCTGTTGTTTCCTGACTTTTTAATGATTGTCATTCTAACTATTGTGAGATGGTATCTCATTGTGGTTTTGATTTGCATTTCTCTGATGGCCAGTGATGATGAGCATTTTTTCATGTGTTTTTTGGCTGCATAAATATCTTCTTTAAAGTTCATATGGAACGAAAAAAGAGCCTGCATCACCAAGTCAATCCTAAGCCAAAAGAACAAAGCTGGAGGCATCACACTACCTGACTTCAAACTATACTACAAGGCTACAGTAACCAAAACAGCATGGTACTGGTACCAAAACAGAGATATAGATCAATGGAACAGAACAGGGCCCTCAGAAATAACGCTGCATGTCTACAACTATCTGATCCTTGACAAACCTGAGAAAAACAAGCAATGATGAAAGGATTCCCTATTTAATAAATGGTGCTGGGAAAACTGGCTAGCCATATGTAGAAAGCTGAAACTGGATCCTTTCCTTACACCTTATACAAAAATCAATTCAAGATGGATTAAAGACTTAAACGTTAGACCTAAAACCATAAAAACCCTAGAAGAAAACCTAGGCATTACCATTCAGGACATAGGCATGGGCAAGGACTTCATGTCTAAAACACCAAAAGCAATGGCAACAAAAGCCAAAATTGACAAATGGGATCTAATTAAACTAAAGAGCTTCTGCACAGCAAAAGAAACTACCATCAGAGTGAACAGGCAACCTACAAAATGGGAGAAAATTTCTGCAACCTACTCATCTGACAAAGGGCTAATATCCAGAATCTACAATGAACTCAAACAAATTTACAAGAAAAAAACAAACAACCCCATCAAAAAGTGGGCGAAGGACATGAACAGACACTTCTCAATAGATAGAAACTTTCTGACGAACTTCTTTGTGATGCATGCATTTGTCTCACAGAGTTGAACCTTTCTTTTGATTGAGCAGTTTGGAAAGTCATTTTGTAGTATCTGTGATGGGATACTTGTGAGTGCTTTGAGGCCTATGGTGGAAAAGGAAATATCTTCACATAAAAACTAGAAAAAAGCTTTCTGGGAAACTTCTTCTTGATGTGTGCATTCATTTCACAGAGTTGAACCTTTCTTTTGATTGACCAGTTTGGAAACAGTCTTTCTGTAGAATCTGCAAAGCAATAGTTTGGAGCCCTTTGAGGCATATGGTGAAAAAGGAAATATCTTCACATAAAAACTAGACAGAAGCTTTCTGAGAAACTTCTTTGTGATGTGTGCATTCATCTCACAGAGCAGAACCTTTCTTTTGATTGAGAAATTTGGAAACAGTTTTTTTGTAGAATCTGCAAAGGGATATTTGTGATAGTTTTGAGGTCTCTGGTGAAAAAGGAAATATCTTCACATAAAAACTAGACAGAAGGCTTCTGAGGAACCACTTTTTGAAGTGTGCATTCAACTCACAGAGGTAAACGTTTCTTTTCATTGAACACATTGGATACTCTGTTCTTGTAGATTCTGCAAAGGGATATTTGTGAGCGCATTTAGGCCTATGGTGAAAAAGGAAATGTCTTCACATAAAAACTAGACAGAAGCTTTCTGAGAAACTTCTTTGTGATGTGTGCATTCATCTCACAGAGTAGAACCTTTCTTTTGATTGAGCAGTTTGGAAACATTCTTTTTGTAGAATCTGCAAGGGGATATTTGTGATCACTTTGAGACCTTAGGTGACAAAGGAAATATCTTCACATAAAAATGAGACAGAAGGTTTCTGAGAATCTGCTTTGTGATGTGTGCATTCATCTCACAGAGGTAAATGTTTCTTTTCATAGAGCAGATTGGAAACTCTGTTCTTGTCGAATCTGCAAAGGGATGTTTGTGAGCGTTTTTCTGCCTGTGGTGAAAAAGGAAATGTCTTCACATTAAAAACTAGACAGAAGGATTCTGAGAAACTTCTTTGTGATGCATACATTCATCTCACAGAGTTGCACCTTTCTTTTGATTGAGCAGTTTGGGAACAGTCTTTTTGTAGAATCTGCAAAGAGATATTTGGGAGCGTTCTGAGGCCTATGGTGAAAACAGAAATATCTTCACATAAAAACTATACAGAAGGTTTCTGAGAAACTGCTTGTGATGTGTGCATTCATCTCACAGAGGTAAACGTTTCTTTTAATTGAGCAGATTGGAAAAGCTGGTCTTGTAGAATCTGCAAAGGTATATTTTTGAGTGCTTTGAGGCCTATGGTGAATTAGGAAATATCTTCACCTAAAAACTAGGAAGAAGCATTCTGAAAAACTGCTTTGTGATGTGTGCATTGCTAGAACAGAGTTGAACCACGCTTTTGATTGAGCAGTTTGGAACAACTGTTTTTCTAGAATCTGTAAAGGTATGTTTGTGAGTGCTTTGAGGCCTATGTTGAAAAAGGAAATATCCTCAGATAAAAACTAAAAGGAGCTCACTTAGAAAATGCTTTGTGGTGTGTTCATTCGACTCACAAAGTTAACCCATTCTTTTGATTGAGCAGATGGGAAATGCAGCATTTGTAGAATCTGCGAAGGGATATTTGGAATGGTCTGGATGTCTGTGGTAATAAAAGGAATATCATCTGATACAAAGCTAGACAGAAGCTTTCTGAGCAACTGCTTTGTGATGTGTGCATTCATCTCATGGGTCTAAAGATATCTTTTCATTGAGCAGTTTTGAAACTCTGTAATTCTAGAATCTTCAAAGGTATATTTTGGAGAGTAATGAGGACTATTGCGAAAAAAGAAATATCTTCTGATACAAACTAGAAAGAAAGTCTCTGAGAAATATCCTTTTGATGTGTGCATTCATCTCACAGTGTTTAACCATTTTTTTGATTAAGCAGTTTGGAAACAGTGTTTGTAGAATCTGCAAAGGGATATTTCGATTCACATGGAGGCCTGTGGTGAAAAAAGGAAATATCTTCTGATACAAACTAGACAGAAGCTTTCTGAGAAACTGCTATTTGATGTGTGCATTTATCTCACAGTGTTTAGTGTTTATTTTCATTGAACAGTTTGGAAACTCTGTTCTTCTATAATCTGCAAAGAGATATTTGGGAGAGCACTGAGGCCTATTGTGAAAAAGGAAGTATCTTAAGGTACAAATCAGAAAGAAAGTTTCTGATAAATTTCTTTGTGATGTGTGCATTCCTCTCAAAGAGCTTAAGCATTCTTCTGGTTGAGCAGTTTGGAAACACAGTGTTCATAGAATGTGCGAAGGAATATTTGGGTTCGCATGAAGCCCTGTGGTGAAAAACAAAATATTTTCCTATATAAACTAGACAGAAGCTTTCTGAGAAACTGCTTTGTGATGTGTGCATTCATCTCACAGAGTTGAACCACTCTTTTGAGTGAGCAGTTTGGAACCACTCTTTTTGCAGAATCTGCAAATGGATATTTGGGAGTGCTTTGAGGCCTACGGTTAAAAAGGAAATATGTTCCCATAAAAACTAGAAGGGAGCTTTCTGAGAAACTGCTTTGTGATGTGTGCATTCCTCTAACAGATTTGAACCATGCTTTTGATTGAGTAGTTTGGAACCACTGTTTTTCTAGGTGTGCAAAGAGAGATTTTTCAGCTCTTTGAGGCACTTGGTGAAAAAGGAAATATCCTCACAGAAAAACTAGAAAGGAGCTTTCTTAGAAACTGCTTTGTGATGTGTGCATTTGTCTCACAGAGTTAAGCCATTCTTTTGATTGAGCAGTTTGGAAACACAGTGTTTGTAGAATCTGCAAAGGGATATTTTGATTTGCCTTTAGGCCTATGGTGACAAAGAAAATATCTTCTGATACTAACTAGACACAAACTTTCTGAGAAACTGCTTCTGTTGTGTGCATTCATCTCACAAATTTAAACGTCTCTTTTAATTGACCAGTTTTGAAACTATGTAATTCTAGAATCTTCAACAGGATATTTTGGAGTGCATTGAGGCCTACAGTGAAAAAGGAAATATCTTCTGATATAAACTAGAAAGAAAGTCTCTTAGAAATTGCTGTGGGAAGTTTACATTCATCTCACAGTGTTTCACCATTCTTTTGATTGAGCAGTTTGCAAACACAATGTTTGTAAAATCTGTGAAGGGATATATGGATTTGCATGGAGGCCTGTGGTGAAGAAAGAAATATCTTCCGATACAAACTAGACAGAAGCTTTCTGAGAAACTGCTTTGTGATGTGTGCATTCATCTCACAGGTTTAAATGTTTCTTTTCTTTGAGCAGTTTGGAAACTGTTTTTCTAGAATCTGCAAAGGGATATTTAGGAGAGCATTGAGGCCTATGGTGAAATAGGAAGTGTTCTAAGATACAAACTCTAAAGAAAGTTTTTGAGAAATTGCTTTGTGATGTCTGCATTCATCTCAAAGTGTTTAACCATTCTTTTGATGGAGAAGTCTGGAAACACAGTGTTTGTAGAATGTTTGAAGGGATATTTGGATTCACATGGAGCCCTGTGGTGAAAAAGGATATATCTTACAATACAAACTAGACAGAAACTTTCTGAGAAACTGCTTTGTGATGTGTGCATTCACCTCACAGAGTTGAACCATTCTTTTGATTGAGCAGTTTGGAACCACTCATTTTGCAGAATTTGCAAAGGGATATTTGGGAGAGCTTTGAGGCCTATGGTTAAAAAGGAAATATCTTTACATAAAAACTAGAAAGAAGCTTTCTGAGAAACTGCTTTGTGACGTGTTCATTCCTCTAACAGAGTTTAACCACGCTTTTGATTGAGCAGTTTGGTACCACTGTTTTTCTAGAATCTGAGAAGGGATATTTTTGAGTGCTTTGAGGCCTACAGTGAAAAAGGAAGTATCCTCACAGAAAAACTAGAAAGGAGCTTTCTTAGAAACTGCTTTGTGATGTGCACATTCATGTAACAGAGTTAAATGATTCTGTTGAGTGAGTAGTTTGGAAACAGTGTTCACAGAATCTGTGAAGGAGTATTTGGATTCACCATGATGCCTATGTTGACAAAGGAAATATCTTCTGATATAAACTAGACAGAAGCTTTCTGATAAACTGCTTTGTGACGTGTGCATTCATCTCACAGAGGAAAACGCTTGTTTTCATTGAGATCTTTGGAAACTCTGTAATTCTAGAATCTGCAAAAGGATATTTAGGGGTGCACTGAAGCCTATGGTGAAAAAAGGAAATATCTTCTGATACAAAATAGAAAGAAAGTTTCTGAGAAATTTCTCTGTGATGTGTGCATTCATCTCACAGAGTTTAACCATTCTTTTGATTGAGCAGTTTGGAAACACAGTGTTTGTGGAATTTGCGAAGGGATATTTTGATTCGCATGGAGGCCTGTGGTGAAAAAGGAAATATCTTCCGATACAAACTAGACAGAAGCTTTCTCAGAAAATGCTTTCTGATGTGTGCATTCATCTCATGCAGTTGAACCATTCTTTTGATTGAGCACTTTAGAATCACTGTTTTGTAGAATCTGCAAAGGTATCCCTTGGAGCGCTTGGAGGCCTTCGGTGAAAAAGGACTTACCTTCACATAAAAACTAGAAAGAAGCTTTCTGAGAAACTGCATTGTGATGTGTGCATTCGTCTAACAGAGTTGAACCACGCTTTTGATTGAGCAGTTTGGGACCACTGTTTTTCTGGAATCTGAAAAGGGATATTTGTGAGCACTTTGAGGCCTACAGTGAAAAAGGAAATATTCTCACATAAAAATTAGAAAGGAGCTTTCTTAGAAACTGCTTTGTGATGTGCACATTCATCTAACATAGTTAAACCATTCTTTTGAGTGAACAATTTGGAAACACAGTGTTTGCAGAATCTGCAAAGGGGTATTTGGGTTCACCTTGAGGCTTATGTTGACAAAGGAAATATCTTCTGATACAAACTAGACAGAAGCTTTCTGAGAAACTGCTTTGTGATGTGTGCATTCATGTCACAGAGGTAAACTTTTCTTTTCATTGACCAGTTTGGAAACACAATGTAGAATATGCGAAGGGATATTGGGATTCACAGTGAGGCCTGTGGTCTAAAAGGAAAGATCTTCTCATACAAACCAGACAGAAGGTTTCTGAGAAACTGCTTTGTGAGGTGTGCATTCATCTCACAGAGTTTAACCATACTTTTGATTGAGCAGTTTGGAAACACAGTGTTTGTAGAATGTGTGAAGGAATATTTGGATGCACATGGAGGCTGGTGGTGAAAAATGAAGTATCTTCTGAATCAAATTACACAGAAGCTTTCTGAGTAACTGCTTTGTGATGTGTGAATTCAACTCACAGAATTGAACCATTCTTTTGATTGAGCAGTTTGGAACCATTGTTTTTGTGGAATCTCTAAGCAGATATTTGGGAGCATTTTGAGGCCTATGATGAAAAAGGAAATATCTGCACATAAAAACTAGAAAGAATCTTTCTGAGAAAGTTCTTTGTGATATGTGGATTCCTCTAAGAGTTGAACCATTCTTTTGATTGAGCAGTTTGGATCCACTGTTTTTCTGGGATCTGCAAAGCGATATTTTGAGCGCTTTGAGGCCTTTGGTGAAAAAGGAAATATCCTCACTTAAAAACTAGAAAGGATCTTCCTTCGAAACTGCTGTGTTATCTGTGCATTCGTCTCACAGATTTAAACCATTCTTGTGATTGAGCAGTTTGAAGGCACAATCTTTGTACAATCTGCGAAGGGATATTTGGATTTGCCTTGAGACATACAGCGAAAAAGGAAATATCTTCTGATACAAACTATACAGGTTTCTGAGAAACTGCTTTGTGATGTGTGCCTTCATCTCACAGAGCTAAACCTTTTTTTTATTGAGCAGTTTTGAAAATCTGTTCTTCTAGAATCTGCAAGGGGATATTTGGGAGCTCATTGAGACCTATGCTGAAAAAGGAAATATCTTAAGATTCAAACTAGAAAGAAATTTTCTGAGCAATTGCTTTTTGATATGTGCATTCATTTTACAGAGTTTAATGATTCTTTTGATTGAGCAGTTTGGAAATGCTGTTTTTGTAGAATCTGTGAAGGGATATTTGGGAGTGAATTGAAGCCTATGGTGAAAAAGGAAATTTCTTTGGATAAAAACTATAAAGAAGCTTTTTGAGAAACTGTTTTGTGATGTGTGCATTCTTGTCACAGAGGTAAACCTTTCTTTTTATTGAGCAGGTTGGAAACCCTGTTTTTGAAGAATCTACAAAGGGATATTTTGGAGCACATTGAAGATTGTGGTGAAAAATGAAATATCTTCAGATAAAAACTAGAAAGAAGTTGTTTGAGAAACTGGTTTGTGATATGTGCATTCTTCTCACAGAGGTAAAGATTTCTTTTGATTGAGCAGTTTGGAAACACTGTTTCTGTAGAAACTGTGAAGGGATATTTCTGAGCACATTGAGGCCTACAGTGAAAAAGGAAATATCTTTGGATAAAAACTAGAAAGAAACATTTTGACAAACTCCTTTATGAAACGTGCATTCATCTCACAGAGGTAAACCTTTCTTTTGATTGATCAGTTTGTAAACACTATTTTTTTAGAATCTGTGATGTGATATTTGGGAGCATATGAGGTCTATGGTGAAAAAGGAAATAACTTCAGATAAAAACTAGAAAAACCGATTTGTGATGTGTGCATTCTTGTCACAGAGTTAACCATTTCTTTTGATTGAGCAGTTTGGAAACAATATTTTTGTAGAATCTGCAAAGGGATATTTGGGAGTGCACTGATGTCTATAGTGGAGAAGGAAATATCTTCAGATAAAAACTAGGAAGAAGATTTTTGGGAAACTGCTTTCTGATCTGTGCATTCATCTCACAGACTTAAATCTTTCTTTTGTGTGAACAGTTTGGAAACACTGTTTTTGCAAAAACCGTGAGCAATATTAGGATGCCCAAAAAAGCATGTGGTGAAAAAGTAAGTATCTTCAGATAAAAACTGGAAAGAAGTGTTATGAGAAACAACTCTCTGATGTGTGCATTCATCTCAAAGAGTTAAGTCTTTCTTTTGATGGAACAGTTTGGAAACACATTTTTTTGTCAAATAAGCAAATTGATATTTGAGAATGCATTGACGCCTATGATGGAAAAGGAAATATCTTCAAAAAAGAGCTAGACAGAAGCTTTAGGAGAAACTGCTTTGTGAAATGTGCATTCATCTCACAGGGTTAAACATTTCTTTTGATTGGGCAGTTGGGAAGCACTGTTTTTGTAGAATCCGCAAAGGGATATTTCAGAGCCCATTGAAGCCTGTGGTGAAAAAGGAAATATCTTCAGATAAACAGCAGAAAGAAGTTTTGGAGAAACTGCTTTGTGATGTGTGTATTCATCTCACAGAGTTAAACCTTTCTTTTGATGATCAGTTTGGGAACACTCTTTTTGCAGAATTTGTGAGGGATATTTTGGAGTGCACAAGGGCTATGGTGAAAAAGGAAATAACTTCAGATAAAAACCAGAAAGAAGATTTCTGAGAAACTGCTTTGTGAGGTGTGCATTCGTCTCACAGAGTTAAATCATTCTTTTTGTGGAACAGTTTGGAAACGGTGTTTTTATAGAATCCATGAAGGGATATTTGGGAGTGCATTGAGGCATATGGTGGAAAAGGGAATATCTCCAGATAACAACTTGAAAGAAGCTTTTTGGGAAACTGCTTT
This sequence comes from Homo sapiens, assembly GCF_000001405.40. Taxonomy (NCBI): domain Eukaryota; kingdom Metazoa; phylum Chordata; class Mammalia; order Primates; family Hominidae; genus Homo; species Homo sapiens. Next base: position 39,326,611 of record NC_000010.11, on the reverse strand, counting down.
GTGATGTGTCCATTCATCTCACAGAGAAAAACTTTTCTTTTGAATGATCAGATTGGAAACACTGTTTTTGTAGAATCTGCGAAGGGATGTTTCGGAAAACACGAAGACTATAGTGAAATAGGAAATATCTTTGGAAAAAACTAGAAAGAACGATTCTGACAAACTGTTTTCCGATGTTTGCATCCCACTCAAAGAGTTAAACATGTTTTCTGATTGAGCAGTATGGAAACACTCTTTTAGCATAATCTGTGATGAGATATTTGAGAGCACATTAAGCCTGTGGTGATAAAGGAAACATCTTCAGATAAAAACTGGAAAGAAGCATTATGAGAAACTGCTTTCTGATGTGTGCATTCATGTTACAGAGTTAACTCCTTCTTTTGATGGAAATGTTTGGAAACATTGTTTTTGTAGAACCTTTGAAGGGATATATGAGAGTACCTGGAGGCCTATATTGGAAGAGGCAATGTCTTCTGAGAAGAAATAGACTGAAGTTTTCTGAGAAACTGCTTTGTGATGTGTGCATTCATCTCAAAGAGTTAAACCTTTCTTTTGATTGAGCAGTTTGTGAACACTGTTTTCGTAGAATCTGCAAAGGGATATTTGGGAGTGCATTGAGGCCTATGGTGGAACATGAAATATCTTCAAAGAAGACAGAAGGTATCTGAGAAACTGCTTGGTGATTAGTGCATTGATCACACAGAGTTAAAACTCTCTTTAGATTGATCAGAATGAAAACACTGTTTTTGTAGAATCTGTGAAGGGATATTTGGAGCACAGGAGGCCTATGATCAAAAAAGAAATCTCTTCAGATAAAAACTAAATAGAAGCTTTTGGAGAAACCACTTTGTGATGTGTCCATTCTTCTCACAGAGTTAAACATTTCTTTTGATTGATCAGTCTGGAAACACTGTTTTTGAAGAATCTGCAACGGATTATTTGGAAGCACACGTGGCCTATATTTAAAAAGGAAATAACTAGAGATAAAAACTAGAAATAAGGTTTCTGAGAAGCCACTTTGTCATGTGTGCATTCTTCTTAGAGAGTTAAATGTTACTTTTGATTGAGCAGTTTGGAAACACTGTTTTTTTTTTAGAATCTGCAAAGGGATATTTGGAATCACAATGATGCCTATGGTGGGAAAGGAAATAATTTCAGATAAAAACTAGAAAAAATCTTTTTGAGAAACTTCTTTGTGATGCATGCATTCTTCTCACACAGTTAAACTTTTCTTCTTAGTTTGGAAACCCTGTTTTTGTGTAATCTGCAAATAGATATTTGTTAGCACAAAAAGTTCTATCATAAGGAAATATCTTCAGACAAAAACTGGAAAGAAGCATTATGAGAAACTACTTTCTGATATGTGCATTCATCTCACATAGATAAATACTTTTGATAGAACAATTCATAAAACACTGTTTTTATAGGATCTGGCAAAGGGATATTTGGGAGTGCATTGAAGCTAGAGTGACAAAGGAAATATCTTCAGATTAAAACTAGAAAGAAGCTTTTTGAGAAAGTGCTTTTTCATTCTTCTCATAGATTTAAATGTATCTTTTAATTGAGCTGGTTGGAAGCACTGCTTTTGTGTAATATGCAAAGTGATATTATGTAGTGCAAAAAGGCCTATGGTGAATACGGAAATATCTTCTGATAAAAACTGAAAAGAAGTGTTATGAGTACCTGTTTTCTGATGTGTGCGTTCATCTCACAGAGTTGTCCTTCTTTTGGTGGAACTGTTCAGAAACACTTTTTTATGGGATCTGCAAAAGGATATTTGGGGGTGCAATGAGGCCTACGGTGGAAAAGGGAATATCTTCAGAGAAGAACTAGACAGAATATATCTGGAAAACTGCCTTGTGATGTGTGCATTCATCTCACAGATTTAAACGTTTCTTTTGATTGAGCAGTTTGGAAACACGGTTTTTGTAGAATCTGCAAAAGTATATTTGAGAGCACCCTGAGGCCTACGGTGAAAAAGGGAATATTTTCAGATAAAAACTAGAAAGAAGCTTTTTGAGAAATGGCTTTGTGATGAGTGCATTCAACTCACACAGCTGAATCTGTTTTAGAGTGAGAAGTTTGTAAACTGGGTAGAATCTGCAGTGGGGTATTTGGGAGCGCATTGAAGCCTATGGTGATAAATGAAATATCTTTTTATAAATACTAGAAAGAAGTTTTTTGAGAAACTGCTTTGTGATGTGTGCATTCACCTGACTGATTTAAACCTTTCATTTGACTGAGCTGTTTGGAAACCGCGCTTTTGCAGAATCTGCAAAGCAATACTAATTAGCACAAAAAACCCTATGGTGAAAAAGGAAATATCTTCAGATAAAACCTGGAAAGAAGTGTTACTAGAAACTGCTCTCTGATATGAGAGTTCGTCTCACACAGTTAAGTCCTCCTTTTGATGGAACAGTTTGGAAACACTGTTTTTGTAGAATTTGCAAAGTGATATTAGGGAGTGCATTGAGGCTTATGGTGGAAAAGGAAATATCTTCAGAGAAGAACTAGACAGAAGCTAACTGAGAAACTGCTTTGTGATGTATGTATTCATCTCAAAGAGTTAAAACTTTCTTTTGATTGAGCAGTTTGGAAACACTCTTTTTGTAGAATCTTCAAAGGTGTATTTTGGAGTGCACTGAGGCCTAAGGAGAAAATTAAATATCTTCAGATAAAAACTACCAGGACAATTTTAGAGAAGCTGCTATGTGATGTGTGCATTCAACTCACTGAGTAAGATCTGGGTTTTGATTGAGCATTTTGGAAACATTGTTTTTGTTGAATCTGAAATGGGATATTTTGGAGTGTATTGAAGCCTATGGTGATAAAGGAAATATCTTCTGATAAAAACTAGAAAGAAAGTTTTTGAGAAACTGCTTTGTGATGAGTGCATTCATCTCACAGATTTAAAAATTTCTTTTGATTGATCAGTTTGGAAACTGTGCTTTTGTAGAGTCTGCAAAGGGATATTTGGGAGCACACGAGGCCTATGGTGAAAAAGGAAAAAACTGGAAAGAAGCATTATTAGAAACTGCTTTGTGATGTGTGCATTCTTCTCACAGAGTTAAACGTTTCTTTTGATTGAAGAGTTTGGATCACTGTTTTTGTAGAATCTGCAAATGGATATTTGGGAGCACACTGATGCCTTTGGTGAAAAAGGAAATATCTTTGGGTAAAAATGAGAAAGAAACTTTCTGAGAAACTGCTTTGTGATGTGACCATTCATCTCACAGAGTTAAACCTTTCTTTTGATTGAGGAGTTTGAAAACACTGTTTTTGCAAAATCTGTGAGGTGACTTTAAGTAGCACAAAAAAGCCAATGGTGAAAAAGGAAATATCTTCATGTGTAAACTGGAAAGAATCATTATGAGAAACTGCTTTCTGATGTGTGCATTCATCTCACAGAGTTATTTCCTTCTTTTGATGGAACAGTTTGGAAACACTGTTTTTGTGGAGTGTGCGAAGGGATATTTGGGAGCATGTTGAGGCCTATGGTGGAAAAGGAAATACCTTCAGATAAAAATTTAAAAGAAATTTTTAAGAAACTGCTTTGTGATGTGTGCATTCAACTCACAGAGTTAAACCTGTTTTTTTGGTTGAGCAAGTTGGAAACACTGTTTTTTTAGAATCTTCAATTAGATATTTGAAAACGCATTTAGGCCTTTGGTGAAAAAGGAAATATCTTCAGATATAAACAAGAAAGAAATTTTTTGTGTACCTGCTTTGTGATGTGTGCTTTCATCTCACAGATTTTAAGCTTTCTTTTGACTGATCCATTTAGAAAGATGATAGTTTTTGTATAAGTAGTGCAAAAAAGCCTATGACAAAAAAGGAAATATCTAAAGATAAAAACTGGAAAGTAGTGTTATGAGAAACTGCATCCTGATGTGTGCGTTCATCTCACAGAGTTAAGTCCTTCTTTTGATGACACAGTTTGGAAACACCGTTTTTATAGAATCTACCAAAGGATATTTGCAAGTGCATTGAGGCCTATAGTGGAAAAGGAAATATCTTAAGAGAAGAACTAGACAGAAGATTTCTGAAAAATTGCTTTGTGATGTGTGCATTCCTCTCACACATTTAAACCTTTCTTTTGATTGAGCAGTTGGAAACACTGTTTTTTTAGAATCTGTGAAGTGATATTTGGGAGCTCAGGAGGCCTATGGTGAAAAATGGAATAACTTCAGATAAAAACTGAAATGAAGCTTTCTGAGAAACTGCTTTATGATGTCTGCATTCTTCTCACAGAGTTAAATGATTCTTTTGATTGAGCAGTTTTGAAACAGTGTTTTTGTAGAATCTGCAATGGGATATTCAGAAGTGCACTAATGCCTATGGTGAAAAAGGAAATATCTTCGGAAAAAACTAAAAAGAACCTTTTTGAGAAACAGCTTTGTGATGTGTGCATTCATCTCACAGAGTTAAAGTTTTCTTTTCATTGAGCTGTTTGGAAATACTGTTTTTACAAAATCTGTGAAGCGATATTTGTTAGCACTAAAAAGCCTGGGGTGAACAAGGAATTATCTTCAGAAAAAAAGTGGAAAGAAGCATTATGGGAAAATGCTTTCTGATATGTGTGTTCATCTCAGAGAGTTATGTCCTACTTTTGATGGAAGAGTTTGCAAACACTGTTTTTATAGAATCTGAGAAGGGATTATTGGGAGCACATTGAAGACTATGGTGGAAAAGGAAATATCTTCAGACAAGAATTAGTCAGAACCTATCTGAGAAAATGCTTGGTGATGTGTGCATTCAACCCACAGAGTTCAAACTTTCTTTTGATTGAGCAATTTGGAAACACTGTTTTTGTAGAAATTGTGAAGGGATATTTGGGAACACATTGAACCCTACGGTGAAAAATTGAATATCTTTAGATAAAAGCTAGAAAGAAGCTTTTAGAGAAACTGCTTTGTTACGTGTGCATTCATCTCACAGGGCGAAACCTTTCTTTGGATGTATCAGTTTGGAAACACTGTTATTGTAAGATATACGAAGGGACAAGTGGGAGTGCAGTGAGGCCTATGACGAAAAAGGAATTAACTTCACATAAAAACTAGAAAGAAAGTTTCTGAGAAACTGCTTTGTGATGTGTGCATTCTTCTCACAGAGTTAAACGTTTCTTTTGATTGAGCAGTTTGGAAACACTGTTTATGTAGAATATGTGAAGGGATATTTGGGAGTGCTTTGAGGCCTATGATGAAAAAAGAAACCACTTCAGAGAAGAATTAGACAGAAGCTCTCTGAGAAACTGCTTTGTGATGTGTGCATTCATCTCACAGGGTTAAAACTTACTTTTGATTGAGCTCTTTGGAAACCTCGTATTTGTAGTATCTGCAAAAGTATATTTGGGGGTGCACTGTGGCCTATGGTGAAAAAGGAATTGTCTTCAGGTAAAAACTAGAAAGAATCTTTTTGAGAAACTGCTTTGTGATGTGTGCTTTCAAATCACAGAGTTAAACCTCTTTTGATACATCAGTTTTGAAACACTTTCTTTGTAGAATCTGTGAYGGGATATGTGGGAGTACATTGAGGCCAATGGTGGAAAAGGAAACATCTTCAGAAAAGAACTAGACAAAAGCTTTCTGATAAACTGCTTTGTGATGTTTGCATTCGTCTCACAGGGCTAAAACTTACTTTTGATTCAATGGTTTGGAAAGACTGTTTTTGTAGAATCTGTGATGGGATATTTGGGAATGCATTGAGTCCTATGGTGAAAAAGGAAATATCTTTGGATGGAAACAAGAAAGAGTTGTATTGAGAAACAGCTTGATCATGTGGGCATTCATCCACAGAGTTTAAACTTTCTTTTGACTGTGCAGTTTGGAAACACTGTTTTGGCAAAATCTGTGAAGCAATATTAGGTGGCGTGAAAAGTCTAAGGGGAAAACGGAAATATCTTCAAATAAAAAGTGGAAAGAAGCATTATGTGAAACAGCTTTCTGATGTGTGCTCTCATCTCACAGAATTAAGTCCTTCTTTTGATGAAACAATTTGGAAACACTGTTTTTGTAGAATCTGTGAAGGGATATTCAGGAGTGCGCAAGGCCTATGCTCAAAAAGGAAATAACTTCAGATAAAAACTAGCAAGAAGCTTTCTGAGAAACTGCTTTTCTGATGTGTGCATTCTTCTCACAGAGTTAAACATTTATTTTGATTGAGCGGTTAGAAAACACTGTTTTTGTAGAATCCACAAAAGGATATTTGGGCACACACTTATGACTGGTGAAAAAGAAAATATCTTCAGATAAAAACTAGAAAGATGGTTTTTGAGAAACTGCCATGTGATGTATGCATTCATCCCACAGAGGTAAACTTTTCCTTTGACTGAGCAGTTTGGAAGCACTGATTTTGAATAATGTGCAAAGCAATATTAGATATCTCAAAAGGGCCTATAGTAAACAAGGAAATATCTTCAGATAAAAAGTGGAAAGAAGCATTATGAGAAACTGCATTGTGATGTGTATATTAATCTCACAGACTGAAATATTTCATTGTTGGAACAGTTCAGAAACACTGTTTTTATAGAATCTGCAAAGGCATATTTGGGAGCACATTGAGGTCTAAGGTGAAAAAGGAAATATATTCAGATAAAAACTAGAAAGAAGCTTTTTGAGAAACAACTTTGTGAAGTGTGCATTCATCTCACAGAGTTAAACATTGCTGTTGACTGAGCAGTTTGGAAACACTCTTTGCCAAATCCATGAAGCATTATCATGTAGTGCAAAAAAAAGCCTTTGGTGAACAAGGAAATATCTTCAGATAGAAACAGGAAAGAAGTGTTATAAGAAACTGCATTCTGATGTATGTGTTCATCTCACAGAGTTAATCCTACCTTTTGATTGAGCAGTTTGGAAGCACTGTTTTTGTAGAATCTGCAAAGTTGTATTAGGGAGCACATTGAGGCATATGGTGAAAAAGGAAATATCTTTGGATAAAAGCTAGAAAGAAGCTTTTTGAGAAACTTCTTTATGATGTGTGCACTCATCTCACAGAATTAAACCTATTTTTAGATGAGTAGTTTGGAAACACTGTTTTTGTAGAACCTGTGATGGGTTATTTTGGAGGGCACTTAAGCCTATGGTGATAAAGGAAATATCTTTGAACAAAAACTAGAAAGAAGCTTTTGGAGGAAGTGCTTTGTGATATGTGCATTTATCTCACAGAGTTAAACCTCTCTTTTGATTGATCAGTTTGGAGACACTGTTTTTGTAGAATCTCCAAAGGTATATTTTAGAGTTCACTAAGGCCTAAAGTGAAAAAGAAAATATCTTTGGATAAAAATTAGAAAGAAGTGCTTTGAGGAACTGTTTGGTGATGGATACATTCATCTCACAGAGCTAAACTTTTCTTCTGACTGAGCAGTTTGGAAACACTGTTTTTGTGTAATATGTGACACCATGTCTGGTAGCGCAAATGTCCTATTGTGAACAAGGAAATATCTTCAGAAAAACACTGGAAAGAAGCATTACGTGAAACATCTCTCTGATATGTGCATTCATCTCACAGAATTAAGTCCTTCTTTTGATTGGACTTTTGCAAACACTGTTTTTGTAGAATCTGCAAATGGATATTTGGGAGAGCATTGATGCCTATGGTGGAAAAATAAATACTTTCAGAGAAGAACTAGACAGAAGCTTTCTGACAACTGCGTTGTGATGTGTGCATTAATGTCACAGAGTTAAACCTTTCTTTTGATTAAGAAGTTTGGAAACACTGTTTTTGTGGCATCTGTGAAGGGATATTTTGGAACACAAGAGGCCTATGGTGAAAAAGGAAATAAGTTCTGATAAAAACAAGAAATATACTTTCTGAGAAACTACTTTGTGATGTGTGCTTTCTTCTCACAGAGTTAATCATTTCTTTTGATTGAGCCATTTGGAAATACGGTTTTTGTAGAATCTGCAAAGGGATCTTTGGAAGCACACTGATGCCTATGATGAAAAAGAAAATATCTTCAGATAAAAACTAGAAAGAACCTTTCAGAGAAACTTCTATGTGATGTATGCATTCATCTCATGGAGTTAAACTTTTCTCTGGACTGAGTCGTTTGGAATCACTGTTTTGGTATAATCTGCAAACTGATGTTTCATAGTGCAAAACAGCCAATGATTAACAAGGAAATACCTTCAGATAAAGACTGGAAAGAAGCATTATTAGAAACAACTTTCTGATATGTGTGTTTATCTCATAGAGTTAAATCCTTCTTTCATGGAACAGTGTGTATACACTGTTTTTCTGGAATCTGCAGAGGGATATTTGGGAGTGCATTGAGGCCTATAGTGGAAAAGGAAATATCTTCAGAGAAGAACTACACAGAAGCTTCCTGAGAAAGTGCTTTGTGATGTGTGTATTCATATCACAGAGTTAAACCTTTCTTTTATTTAGCAGTTTGGAAATACTGTTTTTGTAGAATCTGCAACAGGATATTTGGGAGTGCACTGATATCGATGCTGATAAAGGAAATATATGTGGATAAATACTAGAAAGAAGATTTTTGAGAAAATTCTTTATGATGTCTGCATTCACCTCAGGGAGTTAAACATTTCTTTTTACTGAGCAGTTTGGAAACAGCGTTTTTCCAAAATCTATGATGCAATACTAGTTACTGCCAAATAGCCTAAGGTGAAGAAGAAAATACATTCAGACAAAAACTGGAAAGGAAGCGTTATGAGAAAATGCTTCCTGATGTGTGTGTTCAGCTCTCAGAGTTGAGTCCTTCTTTAGAGAGAACAGTTCAGAAACACTGTTTTTGTAGAATCTGCAAAGGGATATTTGGTAATGTATTGAGGCCAGTGGTGGAAAAGGAAACATCTTCAGAGAAGAACTAGACAGAAGCTTTCTGATAAACAGCTTTGTGAAGTTTGCATTCATCTCACAGAGCTAAACAATTCTTATGATTGAGCGGTTTGGAAACACTGTTTTTGTAGAATCTGCGATGGGATATTTGGGAACGCATTGAGTCCTATGGTGAAAAAGGAAGTATCTTCGGATAGAAACTAGAAAGAATTGTTTTGAGAAACTGCTTGATGATGTGTGCATTCAACTCACAGAGTTAAACTTTTCTTTTGACTAAGCTGTTTGGAAACACTCTTTTGTATACCCTGCGAAGCGATGTTATGTAGCACAAAAAGGCCTATGGCAAAAAAGGACATAGCTTCAGATAAAAGCTAGAAAGGAGCGTTATAAGGAACTTGTTTCTGAGGTGTGTGTTCATCTCTCAGAGTTAAATGCTTCCTTTGATGGAACAGTTCAGAAACACTGATTCGTAGAATCTCCAAAGGGATATTCAGGAGTGCATTGAGTCCTATGGTGGAAAAGGAAATAACTTCAGAGAAGTACTAGACAGAAGGTATCTGAGAAATGGTTTTGTGATGTGCGCATTCATCTCACAGAGTTAAACCTTTCTTTTGTTTGAGCAATTTGGAAACACTGTTTTGGAGAACCTGCAAATGTATAGTTGTGAGTGCATTGAGGCCCATTGTGAAAAAGGAAATATCTTCGGATAAAAACTTGAAAGAAGCTTTTTGAGAAACTGCTTTGTGATGTGAGCATTAAACTCACAGATGTAAATGTGTTTTTTGATTGAGTAGTTTGGAAACATTGTTTTTGTAGAATGTTCAACAGGATATTTTAGAGCACTTTGAAGCCTATGGTGATAAAGGAATTTCTTWAGGTAAAAACTAGAAAGAAGCTTTTTGAGAAACTGCTTTGCAATGTGTGCATTCAAATGAAAGAATTAAACTTTTCCCTTGATTGATCAGTTTGGAAACACTTGTAGAATCTGCAAATGTGTATTTGGGAGCAAAAGGGGTTTTTGGTGAAAAAAAACTACTGAGAAAAAGTAGAAAGAAGCTTTCTGAGAAAACACTTTTTGTTGGGTGTATACTTCTCACAGAGTAAAATGTGTCTTTTGATTCAGCAGTTTTGAAACACTGTTTTTCTAGAATCTCTGAAGGCATGTTTGTGAGTGCATTGAAGCCTATGTTGAAAAAGGAAATATCTTCAGATAAAAGCTAGAAATAATATTTTTGAGAAACTGCTTGCAATGTGTGCATTCATCTCACAGAGTTAAACCTTTCTTTTGATTGATCAGTTTTGTAACACTTTTTTTGTAGAACCTACGAAGGGTTATAGGGGAGTGCATGAGGCCTACAGTGAAAAAGGAAATAACTTCAGATAAAAACTAGAAAGAAGCTTTCTGAGAAACTGATTCGTGATGTGTGCATTCTTCTCAGATACTTAAACGTTTCTTTTCATTGAGCAGTTTGAAAACACTGTTATTGCCAAAACTGAAAAGGGATATTTGGGAGTGCGGTGATGCCTATGGTGAAAAAGGAAATATCTTTGGATAAAAACTAGAAAGAAGTTTTTTGAGAAACCACTTTGTGGTGTATGCATTCATCTCACAGAGTTAAATAATATTTTTGACTGAGCAGTTTGGAAACACAGTTTTTGTATAATCTGCAAGTGATGTTAAATAGTGCAAAAAGGCCTATGTTTAACAAGGAAATAACTTCAGATAAAAACTGGAAAGAAGCGTTGTGAGAAACTGCTTTCTGATGTGTGCATTCATCTCACAGAGTTAAATCTGTCTTTTGATGGAACAGTTTGGAAACACTGTTTTAGTAGAATCTGCGAGGGGATATTTGGGTGCACTTTTAGGCCTATGGTGGAAAAGGAAATATCTTCAGAGAAGAACTAGACAGGAGCGTTCTGAGAAACTGCTTTGTTATGTGTGCATTCCTCTCACAGAGTTAAATATTTCTTTTGATTGAGTAGTTTGGAAACACTGGTTTTGAAGCATCTGCAAGGGCATATTTGGGAGTGCATTGAAGGYTATGGTGAAACATGAAATATCTTCGGATAAATACTAGAAAGATGAATTTTGAGAAACTACTTTGTGATGTGTGCATTCTTCTCACAGAGTTAAGCCTTTCTGTTTATTGAGCCATTTGGAAACACTGTTTTTGTACAAACTGYGAAGGGATTCTTGAGAGCACAAGAGGCCTATCTTGAAAAAGCAAATGACTTTGGATAAAGACTACAAAGATGCTTTTTGAGAAACTACTTTCTGATGTGTGCATTCATCTCACAGAGTTAAGTCCTTCTTTTGATTGGACTGTTTGCAAACACTCTTTAGGTAGAATCTGCAAATGGATATTTGGGAGTGCAATGAGGCCTGTGGTGGAAAAATATATATCTTCAGAGAGGAAATAGACAGAGGCTTTCTGACAACTGCGTTGTGATGTGTGCATTAGTCTCACAGAATTAAACCTTTCTTTTGATTGATCAGTTTGGAAACACTGTTTTTGTAGAATGTGTGAAGGGATATTTGGGAGCACATTGAAGCCTATTTTGAAAAAGGAAATACCTTCGGATGAAAACTAGAAAGAAGCTTTTTGAGAAACTGTTCATGATGTGTGCATTAGTCTCACAGAATTAAACCTTTCTTTTGATTGATCAGTTTGGAAACACTGTTTCTGTAGAATCAGCGAAGGCATATTTGGGAACCCATGAGGCCTATGGTGAAAAGGGAAATATCTTCAGATAAAATCCAGATAGAAGCTTTCTGAGAAACTGCTTTGTGATGTGTGCACTCATCTCACAGATTTAAAACTTTCTTTAGATGGAGTAGTTTGTAAACACTTTTTTTTTGTATAATCAGCAGAGGGATATTTATGAACGCAGTGATTCCTATGGTGAAAAGGAAATATCGTCAGAGAAAAACTAGAAAGAAACTTTCTGAGAAACTAGTTTGTGATGTATGCATTCATCTCATAGAGCTAAACCTTTCTTTTGATGGAATAGTTTGTTAACCTTGTTTTTGTATAAACTGCAAAGGGATATTTCAGAGTGCATTATGGCCTATGGTGAAACTGGAAATATCTTTAGACCAAAACTAGAAAGAAGGTTTCTGAGAAGCTGTTTGTGGTGTGTGCATTCACCTCACAGAGGTAAACCTTTCTTTTGATGGAGCAGTTTGTAAACACTATATTTGTAGAATTTGCAAAGGGACACTTGGGAGCTCATTGAGGCCAATGGGGAAAAGAAATATCTTCAGAAAAAACTAAAAAGAAGCTTTCTGAAAAACTACTTTGTGATGTGTGCATTTGTACCACAGAGTTAAAAAATTTTATGATGGAACTGTTTGTTTACCTTGCTTTTGTATAAACTGCAAAGGGATATTTCAGAAGGCATTGAGGCCTATGGTGAAAATGGAAACATCTTTTGACAAAAACCATAAAGAATGTTTCTCATAAACTGCTTTCTGATGTGTGCATTCATCTTACACATTTAAGCCTTTTTTTTGTTGGAGCAGTGTGTAAACACTATATATGTAGAACCTGTGAAGGCAGACTTTGCAGCACATTGAGGCGTATGGTTAAAAAAACATTTTCAGAGAAAAATTAAAAGAAGTTTTCTGAAAAATTTCTTTGTCATGCGTGCATTCACATCACCTAGATGAACCTTTCTTTTAATGGGACAGTTTGGAATCAGTGTTTGTGTAGAATCTGCAATGGGATATTTCCTAGCACACTGACGCCTGTGGTGAAAAGAGAAATATCTTCAGAGAAAAACTAGAAGGAAGCTTTCTGAGAAACTGCTTCATGATGTATGCTTTCATCTCACAAAATCAAACCTTTCTTTTGGTGGAGCAGTTTGTAAACACTGTATTTGTAGAATCTGCGAAGGGATACTTGGGAGCTCATTGAGGCCAATGGTGAAAAGAAATATCTTCAGAGAAAAACTAAAAAGAAGTTTCTGAAAAACTGCTTTGTGATTTGAGCATTCATCTGACAGACTTAAACCTTTCTTTTGATAGAGCAGTTTGGAAACGCTGTATTTATAGAATCTGCAAGGCCATATTTGGGAGAGCATTGAGGACTATTGTGAAAATGGAAATATCTTCAGAGAAAAATTAGAAGGAAGCTTTCTGAGAAACTGCTTGGTGATGTGTGCATTCATCTGACACAGTTAAACCTTTCTTTTGATGGAATAGTTTGGAGTCACTGTTTGGTAGAATCTGCAAAGGGATATTTGGGAGTGCATTAAAGCCTGGGATGAAAAGATAAATATATTCGGAGTAATACTAGAAAGAAGCTTTTTGAGAAACTGCTTTGTGATGTGTGCATTCATCTCACAAAGTTAAACCTTCCTTTTGATGGAGCAATTTGTTAACCCTGTTTTTTTATAAACCGCAAAAGTATATGTTGGAGTGCTTAGAGGCCTATTGTGAAAATTGAATTATCTTTAGACAAAAACTAGAACGAAGCTTTCTGAGAAACTGCTTTGTGATGTGTGCATTCATCTGACAGAATTAAACCTCTTTATTGATAGAGCAGTTTGGAAACACTGTATTTGTAGAATCTGCAAAGATATATTTCAGAGCTCATTGAGGTCTATTGTGGAAAAGGAAATATCTTCAGAGAAAAACATGAAAGAAGCTTTCTGAGAAGTGGCTTCATGATGTGTCCATTTATCTCACAGAGTTAAACCTTTCCTTTGAAGGAGTAGTTTGAAAACAATGTATTTGTAGAATCTGCGAAGCCATATTTGGGAGTGCTTTCAGGCCTCTGGTGAAAAGGGAAATATCTTCAGATAAAAACTAGGCAGAAGATACCTGTGAAACGGCTTTTTGATGTGTACTTTCATCTCAGAGTTAAACCTTTCCTTTGATGGAGTAGTTTGTAAACACTGTTTTTGTATAATTGGTGAAGAGAAATTTTGGAGCACATAGAGTCCTATGGTGAAAAGGAAATATCTTCAGAGAAAAACTAGAGAGAAACTTTCTGAGAAAGTGCTTTGTGTTGCATGTATTAATCTCACAGAGTTAAACCTTTCTTTTGATGGAGCAGTTTATTAACCCTGTTTTTGTATAAACTGTGAAGGCATATTTTGGAACACATTGAGGCCTGTGGTGAAAATGGAAATCTCTTTAGACAAAAACTAGAATGAAGCTTTCTGAGAAACTGCTTTGTGATGTGCTCATGCAACTCATTGAGTTAGACCTTTCTTTTGATGGAGCAGTTTGGAAACACTGTATTTGTAGTTTCTGTGAATGGATATTTTTGAGCACAATGTGGCCTTCTGTGAAAAAGGAAATATCTTCAGAGAACAACCAGTAAGAAGCTTTCTGAGAAACTGCTTTCTGATGTGTGCATTCATCTCACTGAGTTAAAACTGTATTTACATGGAGCATTATGGAAAAACTGTATTTGTAGAATCTGTGAAGAGATATTTCAGAGCATATTGAGGCCTACAGGAAAAAAGGAAATATCTTCAGAGAAAAACTATAAATGAGCTTTCTGAGAAACCAGTTTGTGATGTGTGCACTCATCACACAGACTTAAATCTTTCTTTTGAYGGAGCAGTTTGGAATCACTCTTTTTGCAGAAATCCGTGAAGGGATATTTGGGAGAGCATTCAGGCCTATGGTGAAAAGGGAAATATCTTCAGAGAAAATCGAGAAAGAAGCTTTCTAAGAAACTTCTTTGTTATGTGTGCATTCACCTTGGAGAGTTAAAACTTTCATTAGATGGAGTAGTTTGTAAACACTGTTTTTATACAATTGGTGAAGGAATATTTATGAGTACCTTTGGTGCTCATGTGGAAAAGGATATATCTTCACAGAAAAACTAGAAAGAAACTATCATAGAAAATATTTTGTGATGTATGCATTCATGTGACAGAGTTAAACCTTTCTTTTTATGGAGCAGTTTCTTAACCTTGCTTTTGAATAAACTGCAAAGGACTAATTTGGAGTGCATTCAGGCCTATGGTTAAAATGGAAATATCTTTAGACAAAAACTRGAAAGGTCTCTGAGAAACTGCTTTKTGATGTGTGCATTCATCTCAAAGAGTTAAAATTTTCTTTTGATGGAGCAGTTTGAAAACACTGTATTTGTAGAATCTGTGAAGGGATATTTAGGAACACATTGTGATCTATTTTGAAAAGAAATACCTTCATAGCAAAACTAGAAAGAAGCTTTCAGAAAAACTACTTTGTGATGTGTACATTCATCTCATAGAGATAAATCTTTCTTTTAATGAGGCAGCTTGGAATAACTATTTTTGTATAATCTGCAAAGGGATATTTGGTAGCAGATTGATCCCTGTGGTGAAAAGATAAATATCTTCAGAGAAAAACTAGAAGGAAGCTTTCTCAGAAACTGCTTTGAGATATGAGCATTCATCTCACAGAGATAAACCTTTCTTTTGATTTAGCAGTTTGGAGTCCCTGTTGTTGTAAGATCTGCAAACGGATATTTCAGTGCACATTAAGGCCTGTGGTGAAAAGAGAAATATCTTCAGAGAAAAAGTAGCAGGAAGCTTTCTGAGAAACTGCTTTGTTATGCGTCCATTCATCTCACAGAGTTAAAATTTTCCTTTGAATCAAACCCAAATGTCCAACAATGATAGACAGGATTAAGAAAATGTGGCACATATACACCATGAAATACTACGCAGTCATAAAAAATGATGAGTTCATGTCCTTTGTAGGGACATGGATGAAATTGGAAATCATCATTCTCAGTAAACTATCGCAAGAACAAAAAACCAAACACTGCATATTCTCACTCATAGGTGGGAACTGAACAATGAGAACACATGGACACAGGAAGGGGAACATCACACTCTGGAGACTGTTGTGGGTTGGGGGGAGGGGGGAGGGATAGCATTGGGAGATATACCTAATGCTAGATGATGGGTTAGTGGGTGCAGCGCACCAGCATGGCACATGTATACATATGTAACTAACATGCACATTGTGCACATGTACCCTAAAACTTAAAGTATAATAATAATAAATGAAAAAAAAGAAAAAAAATTTTCCTTTGAAGGAGCAGTTTGAAATCACAGTATTTGTAGAATCTGTGAAGCCATATTTGGGAGTGTTTTCATGCCTGTGGTGAAAAGGGAAATATCTTGAGATAAAAACTAGACAGAAGCTTTCTGCAAAACTGCTTTGTGATGTGTGCATTCATCTCACAGAGTTAAATCTTACTTTTGATGGAGCAGTTTGTTAACCTTGGTTTTATATATACTGCAAAGGGATATTTCAGAGCACATTGAGGCCTAAGGTGAAAATGGAAATATCTTTAGACAAAAACTAGAAAGAAGGTTTGTGAGAAACTGCTTTGTGGTCTGTGCATTCATCTCACAGAGTTAAACTTTTCTTTTGATGGAGCAGTTTGTAAACACTGTAGTTGTAGAATCTGTGAAGGGATGGTTGGGAGTGCATTGAGGCCTATGGTGAAAAGAAATATCTGCAGGGAAAAACTAAACAGAAGCTGTCTGAAAAACTACTTTGTGGTGTGTGTATTCATCTCAGAGAGATAGAGCTTTCTTTTTGGGGGACATTTTGGAATCACTGTTTTTGAAGAATCCATGAAGGGATACTTGGGAGCACATTAAGGCTTGTTGTGAAAAGAGAAATATCTTCAGAGAAAAATGGAAGGAAGCTTTCTGAGAAACTGCTTTGTGATGTGTGATTTCATCTCACAGAATCAAACATTTCTTTTGGTGACACAGTTTCTTAGCCCAATTTTCATAGAATCTGTGAAGGGAAATTGGAAGTGTGCAATGAAGTCTATGGTGAAAAAGCAAATATCTTCAGAGAAAAACTAGGAAGACATTTTGTGAGAAACTGCATTCTGATGTCAGCATTGCTCTCACAGAGTTAAATGCTTGAGGCCATTGAGTCCTATGGTGGAAAAGGAAATATCTTCAGAGAACAACTAGACAGAAGCTATCAGAGAACTGCTTTGTGATGTGTGCATTCATCTCACAGAGTTAAACCTTTCTTTTGATTGAGCAGTATGGAAATACTCTTTTCATAGAATCTGCAAATGTATACTTGGGAGTGCATTGACACCTATGGTGAAAAAGGAAATATCTTCGGATAAAAACTAGAAAAAAGCTTTTTAGAAACTACTTTGTGATGTGTGCATTCAACTAACGAGTTAAAAAGGTTTTTTTATTGAGCAGATTAGAAACACTGTTTTTGTAGGATCTGTGACTGGATATTTGGAAGCACATTAAAGCTTATGGGGATAAAGGAAATATCTTCAGATAAAAACTAGAGAGAAGTTTTTGAGAAACTGCTTTGTGATGTGTGCATTCATCTCACAGAGTTAAACTTTTATTTTTACTGAGCAGTTTGGAAACACTGTTTTTGCAAACTCTGCAAAGTAATATTAGGCAGTACAAAAAAGCCTATGGTGAAAAAGGAAATATCTTCAGATATAAACTGGGAAAAGTGTTATGAGAAACTGCTTTCTGATGTGTTCGTTCCTGTCACAAAGTTAAACTTTTGTATTGATTGAGCAGTTTGGAAACACTATTATTGTAGTATCTGCATAGGTATATCTGGGAGCGCACTGTGGCCAATGGTGATAAAGGAAACATCTTTGGATAAAAACGAGAAAGAAGCTTTTTGAGAAACTGCTTTGTGATGTGTACATTCATCTCACACTGTTAAAACTTTCTTTTGACTGAACAGTTTGGAAACACTGTTTTTATAAAATCCGCGATGCGATATTAGGTAATGCAAAAAAGCCTAGTGTGAAGAGGGAAATACATTCAGACAAAACTGGAAAGAAGCATTATGATAAACAGCTTTCTGATGTGTGCATTCATCTCACAGAGCTAAGTTCTTCTTTTGATGGTATAGGTTGCAAATGCTGTTTTTGTAGAATCTGTGAAGGGCTATTAGGGAACCCATTGAGGTCTATGGTGGAAAAGGAAATATATTCAGAGAAGAACTAGAGAGAAGCTTTCTGAGAAATTTCTGTGTGATATGTGTATTCACGTGACAGAATTAAAACTTTCCTTTCATTGACCAGTTTGAAATCACTGTTTTTGTAGAATCTGCAAAAGGATATTTCAGAGTGCAGGAGGCTTATGGCGAAAAGGGAAGAACTTGAGATAAAAACTAGAAAGAAGCTTTCTGAGAAACTGCTTTGTGATGTGTGCATTCTTCTCACAGAGTTAAACGTTTATTTCTGTTGAGAAGTTGGGAAGCACTGTTTTTGTAGAATTTGCAAAGGGATATTTGGGAGCACAATGATGCCTTTGGTGAAAAAGGAAATATATTCAGACAAAAAATAGAAAGAAGCTCTTTGAGAAACTGCTTTGGATGTATGCATTCATCTCACAGAGGTAAACTTTTCCTTTGACTGAACCATTTGGAAACACAGTTTTTGCAGAATCTGTGACAGGATATTTGGGAGTGCATGAGGTMCAATGTGACAAAGGAAATAACTTCAGATAAAAACTAGAAAGAAGCTTTCTGACAAATCGCTTTGTAATGTGTGCATTCTTCTCACAAAGTTAAATGTTTATTTTGACTGAGTAATTCAGAAACACTGTTTTTGTAGAATCTGCAAAGGGATATTTGGGAGAGCACTGATGAATACAGTGAAATGGGAAATATCTTTGGATAAAAAGTAGAATGAGGCTCTATGAGAAACTGCCTTGCAATGTATGCATTTTTCTCACAGAGTTAAACTTTTATTTTGACTGAGTGGTTTGGAAACACTGTTTTCCTATAATCTGTGAAGCAATGTTAGGTGGCATGAGAAGGCCTATGGTGAACAAGGAAATATCAGATAAAAACTGGAAAGAAGAGTTATAAGAAACTGCTTTCTGATGTGTGTGTTCMTCTCACTGAGTTAAATCCTTCTTTTGATGGAAAAGTTCGATAACACTGTTTTTATAGAATCTACATAGTGATATTAGGGAGCACATCGAGACCTATGGTGGAAAAGGAAATATCTTCAGAGAAGAACTAGACAGAAGCCTTTGAGAAACTTCTTTGTGATGTGTGCATTTGTCTCACAGAGTTAAACCTTTTTGGCTAATTGAGCCATTTGGAAAAACTGTTTTTGTCGAATCTTCAAAGGTATAATTGGGTGCACACTGAGTCCTACGGTGAAAAAGGAAATTTTTTGGATAAAAACTAGAAATGACCTTTTTTGTTAAACTGCTTTGTGATGTGTGTATTCATCTCACAGAGTTAAACATTTCTTTTCATTTAGCAGTTTGGAAACACTCCTTTTGTAGAATCTGTGAAGCGAAGTTGAGTAATGCAAAAAAGCCTATGGTGAACAAGGAAATATCTTCAGATAAAAACTGGAAGGAAGCATTATGAGAAACTGCTTTCTGATGTGTGAATTCATCTCACAGAGTTCAGTTCTTTTTTTGATGGAACAGTTTGGAAACACTGATTTTGTAGAATCTGTGAAGGGATATTGGGCAGTGCATTGAGGCCTACGGTGAAAAAGGAAATATCTTCAGAGAAGAACTAGACAGGAACTTTCTGAGAAACTACATTGTGATGTGTGCATTCATTTCACAGAATAAAACTTTCTGTGTATTGAGCAGTTTGGAAACACTGTTTCTGTAGAATCTGCAAAGTTATATTTGRGAGTGCAACTGAGGCCTATGGTGAAAAAGAAATATCTTCAGATAAAAACAGGAAAGAAGATTTTTGAGAAAATGTTTTGTGATGAGTGCATTCAACTCACAGAGTTGAACCTGTTTCTTGATTGAGCAGTTTGGAAACAGTGTTGTTGTAGAATATTCAAAAGGTTATTTGGGAGCGCATTGAAGCCTATGGTGATAAAGGGAAAATTTCAGATAAATACTAGAAAGAAGTTTTTGAGAAACTGCTTTGTGATGCGTGCATACATCTCACAGAGTTAAATCTTTGTTTTGGCTGAGCAGTTTGGAAACATTGTTTTTGCAAAATCTGTGAAGCGTTGTTAGGTAGCTCAAAAAGCAAAGGTCGAAAAAGGAAATATCTTCAGATAAAAACTGGAAAGAAACGTTATGAGAAACTGCTTTCTGATGTGTGCATTCATCTCACAGAGGTACACCTTTCTTATAATGCAACAGTTTGGAGACACTGTTTTTGTAGAATCTGTGAAGGGATTTACATTGTGAAGAGATATTTGTCAGCACAGGGATATTTTTGAGTGCTTTGAAGCTTATGTTGAAAAATGAAATAGCTACACAGAAAAACTAGAGAGAATCTTTATGAGAAACTGCTTTGTGAAATGTGCATTCTTCTCAAAGAGTTAAATCTTTCTTTTGATTGAGCAGTTTGGAAACACTGTATTTGTATATTCTGCAAAGCAATATTTGGTATCGCACTGAGGCCTATGGTGAAAAAGGAAATATCTTTGGATGAAAATTAGAAAGAAGCTTTTTGAGAAACTGCTTTGTGATCTTTGCATACACCTGACAGACTTAAACTTTTCTTTTGAGTGAGCTGTTTGGAAACAATGTTTTTGTATAACCTGCAAGGCCATGTTTTGTAGCACAAAAAGGCCTATGGTGAACAAGGGAATATCATCAGATAAAAACTGGAAAGAAGCGTTATGAAAAACTGCTTTCTGATGTGTGCATTCATCTCACAGAATTACATCTTTCTTTTGATGGAACAGTTCAGAAACATTGTTTTTATAGAATGTGTGGAGCGACATTTAAGAGCAAATTGAGGCCTATGGTGGAAAAGGAAATAACTTCAGAAAAGAACTAGACAGCATCTATCTGAGAAACTGCATTTTGATGTATGTATTTATCTCACAGAGTTAAATCTTTCTTTTGATAGAGCAGTTTTAAAACACTGGTTTTGTAGAATCTGCAAAGGGATATTTGGGAGCACATTGAAGACTGGTGAAAAAAGAAATATCTTCGTATAAAAACTAGACAGAAGATTTTTGAGAGACTACATTGTGATGATATATGCATTCATCTCACAGAGTTAAACTTTTCTTTTGACACAGAAGTTTGGAAACAATGTTTTTGTATAACCTGTGAAGTGATATTTTGTGTCACAAAGAGGCCTATGGTGAAAAAAGAAGTATTTTCAGATAAAAACTGGAAAGACCATTTCTGATACACTGATTTGTGATGTGTGTATTCATTTCACATTGTTAAATTTTTCCTTTGATGGAGCCATTTGGAGACGAACTTTTGGTGGAATCTGCAAATATTTAATTTGGATCACATTGAGGCCTGTGGTGAAAAAGGAAATATCTCCAGATAAAAGCTAGAAAGAATCTTTCTCAGAAACTGCTCTCTGATGTGTGCATTCATCTGACAGAGTTAAAGCTTTCTTTTGATTGAGCAGTGTGGAAACAGTGTTTTGGTAGAATCTGCCAAGGGATATTTGGGATTGAACTTACCTAATGGTAAAAAAAGAAATAACTTCAGATTAGAAGTATAATGAAGCTTTGTGGGAAACCAGTTTGTGATGTGTGTATTCTTCCCACAGATTTAAACCTTTCTTTTGATTGAGGAGTTTGAAAAAACTGTTTTTGTAGAATATGCAATGGGATATTTGAAAGTGCAGTTAGGCCTATGGTGAAAAAGGAAATATATTTGGATAAAAACTAGAAAGAAGCTTTTTGTGAAACTGCTTTGTGATGTGTGCACTCGTCTTAAGGAGATTCACCATTCTTTTGACTGAGCAGTTTGGAAACACTTTTTGTGTAATCTGTGAAGGGATATTAGCTAGCACAGAAAAGCCTATGGTAAAAAAGGAAATATCTTCAGATTAAAAGTGGAAAGAAGAGTTTTGAGAAGCTGCTTTCTGATGTGTGCATTCAGATCACAGAGTTAAGTCCTTCGTTTGATGGAACAGTTTGGAAACACTGTTCTTGTAGAATTGGAGAAGGGATATTTGGGAGCACATTGAGGCCTAAGGTGGAAAAGGAATTATCTTCATTGAAGAAGGAGACAAGAGCTTTCTGAGAAACTGCTTTGGGAAGTGTGCATTCATCTCACAGGGTTAAACCTTTCTTTTGATACAGCGGTTTGGAAACACAGTTTTTGTAGAATCTGCAAAGTGATATTTGGGTGCACATTGAACTTCTACGGTGAAAAAGGAAATATCTTCAAATAAAATCTAAAAATAAGCTTTTGTAATACTGCTTTGTAATGTATGCATTCTTCTCATGGAGTTAAAAGGTTCTTTTGATTGCGCTGTTTGGAAACACTGTTTTTGTAGAATCTGCAAAGGGATATTTGGGAACACACTGAAGCCTATAGTGAAAAAGGAAATATCTTCAGATAAAAACTACAAAGCAGCTTTTTGTAACTGCTTTGTGATGTATGCATTCATCTTACAGAATTAAACTTTTCTTTTGACTGAGCAGTTTGGAAACACTGATTTTGTATAATCTTTTAAGTGATATTAGGTAGCGCAAAAAGGCCTATGTTGAACAAGGAAATAGTTTCAGATAAAAAATGGAAAGAAGTGTTATTAGGAACTGGTTTCTGATGTGTGCATTCATCTTAGAGAGGTAAATCTTTCTTTTAATGGAACAGTTCAGAAACACTATTTTTATACAATATGGAAGGGATATTTAGGAGCACATTGAGGCCTATGATGAAAAAGGAAATATCTTAAGAGAAGAACTAGACAGAAGCTGTCTGAGAAATTGATTTTTGATGTGTGCATTCATGTCACCGAGTTAAACCTTTATTTTGATTGAGCAGATTGGAAACACTGTTTTTGTAGAATTTGCAAAGGTATATTAGGGAGCACACTGTGGATTATTGTGAAAAAGGAAATATCTTCAGATAAAAACTAGAAAGAAGCGTTTTGACAAACTGCTTTGTGATGTGTGCATTCATCTCACAGAGTTAAA
The DNA here is from genome assembly GCF_000001405.40 of Homo sapiens. Lineage (NCBI taxonomy): Eukaryota > Metazoa > Chordata > Mammalia > Primates > Hominidae > Homo > Homo sapiens. The sequence goes on along the minus strand of NC_000010.11, from coordinate 39,303,947 downwards.
CCCTTCTTTTGACAGAGCAGTTTGGAAACACTGTTTTTGTAGAATCTGGGATGGGATATTTGGGAGCTCATTGATGCCTATGGTGAAAAAGGAAATATCTTCAGATGAAAACTTCAAAGAAACTTTCTGAGAAACTGCTTTGTGATGTGTGCATTCATCTCACAGAATTACATTTTCTTTTGATTGAGCAGTTTTGAAACACTGTTTTTGTGAAATCTGCAAAGGGATATTTGGGAGCACAATGAGGCCTATAGTGAAAAAGGAAATATCTTAAGAGAAAAACTATAAAGACGTTTTCTGAGAAACTGATTTGCAATGTGTGCATTCATCTTACAAAGTAAAACATTTCTTGTGATTGAGCAGTTTTGAAAATTTGTTTTTGCAGAATCTGCGAAGGGATATTTTGGAGTTCATTGAAGCATAAGTTGACAGAGGAAATATCTTCAGAGAAAAACTAGACAAAAGCTTTCTGAGAAACTACTTTGTGATGTGTGCATTCATCTCACAGAGTTAAAACTTTCCTTTGTTGGATCAGTGTGGAAACAAGGTTTTTGTAGGAACTCCAAAGGCCTATTTTGGTGCACATTGAGGCCTATGGCCAAAAAGGAAATATCTTTAGATAAAAACTAGAAAGAAGATTTCAGAGAAACTGATTTCTGATGTCTGCATTCATCTCACAGAGACAAAATTTTCTTCTGATGGAGCTTTTTGAAAACACTGTTTTTGTCGAGTCTGCAAAGGGATATTAGGGAGCTCATTGATGCCAATGGCAAAACAGTGAATAGCCCAGGATAAAAACTAGGAGGAAGCTATCTGAGTAACCGCTTTGTGATGTGTGCTTTCACATCGTAGAGTTAAACCTTTCTTTTCATTCAGCGGTTTGGAAACACTGTATTTGTAGAATCTGCAAAGGGATATTTTGGAGTGCATTGAGGCCTACGGTGAAAAAGGAAATATCTTTAGATAAAAACTAGAAAGATGCTTTCTGAGAAACTGCTTTGAGATGTGTGCATTCTCATCACAGAGTTAAACTGTTTTTGGGATTTAGCAGTTTGGAGACACTGTTTTCATTCATTCTGCAAATGGACATTTCAGAACTCATTGAGGCCAATGGCTAAACAGTGAATATCCCAGGATAAAACCTGGAAGGAAGCTATCTGAGAAACTGCTTTGTGATGTGTGCATTCACTCCAGACAGTTAAACCTTTCTTTTCTTGTCTGAAAAGAATTTTCAGCAGTTTGGACAGCCTGTATCTGTAGAATCTGTGAAGGGATATTTGGGAGCACATTGAATCCTATGGTGAAAAGAAAATATCATCGGATAAAAACTAGAAAGAAGCTTTCTAAGAAACTGCTGTGTGATGTATGCATTCATCTCACGGTGGTAAACCTTTCTTTTGATTGTTCAATTTGAAACACTGTTTTTGTACAATCTGTGAAGGGATATTTGGAAGCATTCAAAGTGTATGGTGAAAAAGGAAATTACTTCAGATAAAAACTAGAAGGAAGCTTTCTCAGCAATCGATCTGTGATGTTTGCATTCTTCTCACAGAGGTAAACGTTTTTGTTGATTGAGCTGTTTTGTAACACCGTTTTCATATAATCTGTGAAGGGATATTTGGGAGCACACTGATGCCTATGGTGAAAGAAGAAATATCTTCAGATAAAAACTAGGAACAAGCTTTCTGAGAAACTGCTTTGTGATTTGTGTGTTCAACTAACGGAGTTAAACCTGTTCTTTATGGAGCAGTTTGGAAACACTGTTTTTGTAAAATCTTCAATGGGATATTTGGAAGAGTAGTTAGGATGGTGGTGAAAAAAGAAATATCTTCGAATATAAACTAGAAAGAATTTTTTTGAGTAACTGCTTTCTGATGTGTGCATTCATCTCACAGAGTTAACCTTTGTTTTGACTGAGCAGTTTGGAAACACTGTTTTTGTATAATTTGCAAAGCGATATTAGTGCAAAAATGCCTACATTGATAAAGGAAATATCTTCAGATTAATACTGGAAAGAAGTATTATAAGAAACTGCTTTCAGATGTTGCATTCATCTCACAGAGTTAAGTCCTTCTTTTGATGGAACAGTTTAGAAACAATGTTTTTGTAGAATCTCCAAAGGGTATTTGGGAGTGCATTGAGGCCTATGGTGGGAAAGCAAATATCTTCAGAGAAGAACTAGATAGAAGCTGTCTGAGAAAGTCTTTTGTGATGTGTGCATTCATCTCACAGAGTTAAACCTTTCTTTTGAATGAGCAGTTTGGAAACACTTTTTTTGCAGAATCTGTGAAGTGATATTTGGGAACCCATTGAAGCTTGTGGTGAAAAAGGAAATACCTTCAGATAAAAACTAGAAAGAACCTGTTTGAGAAACTGCTTTTGGAGGTGAGCATTCATCGCATAAAGTTAAACATTTGTTTTGACTGAGCAGTTTGGAAACACTGTTTTTGTATTACCTGTGAAGTGGTATTATGTAGGGCAAAGAGGCCTATGGTGAACAAGGAAATATCTTCAGATAAAAACTGGGATGAAGTGTTAGGAGAAACAGCTTTCTTATTTATGCACTCATCTCACACAGTTAAATCCTTCATTGAATAGAACTGTTCAGAAACACCATTTTTATAGAATCTGCAGATGATTATTTGGGAACACTTTGACTCCTAAAGTGAAAAAGGAAGTATCTTCAGAGAAAAACTAGACAGAAGCTATCTGAGAAACTGCTTGGTGATATGTGCATCCATCTTACAGAATTAAACCTTTCTTTTGATTGAGCAGTTTGAAAACAATGTTTTCATAGAATCTGCAAAGATATATTTGGGAGCACACAGAGGCCTATGGTAAAAATGAAAATATCTTCAGATTAAAACAATAAAGGTGCTTTTTGAGAAACTGCTTTGTGATGTCTGCATTCAATTCACAGTGTTAAACCTGTTTTTTGATTGATCAGTTTGGAAGCACTGGTTTTGTAAAATCTGCAATGGGATATTTGAAAGTGCAGTTAGGCCTATGGTGAAAAAGGATATATCTTTGGATAAAAACTAGAAAGAAGCATTTGAGCAACTGCTCTGTGATGTGTGCATTCATCTTACAACATTAAAGCTTTCTTTTGACTGAGCAGTTTGGAAACACGGTTTTTGCAAAATTGATACTAGGTATCGCAATAAAAGCCTGTGACAAAAAAGGAAATATCTTCAGATAAAAACTAGAAAAAAGCGTTATTAGAAACTGCTTTCTGATGTGTGCATTCAGCTCTCAGAGTTAAGTCTTTTTTGATGGACCTGTTTGGAAACTCTGTTTTTGTAGAGTCTGTGAAGGGATATTTGGGAGTGCATTGAAGCCTATGGTGGAAAAGAAAATATCTTCAGAGGAGACCGGACAGAGCTTTCTGAGAAACTGGTTTGTTATGTACGCATTCATGTCACAGAGTTAAAACTTTCCTCTGATTGAGCAGTTTAGGACACTATTTTTTTAGATTCCACAAAGGGATATTTGTGAGCGCACTGAGGTCTATGGTAAAAAAGGAAATATCTTCGGATAAAAAATAGAAATAAGAATTTTGAGAAACTGTTAGTGAAGTATGCATTCATCTCACTGAGCTAAACTTTTATTTTGACTGAGAAGTTTGCAAACACCGTTCTTGTACAATCTGGGWTACTATGTTAAGTAGCCCAAAAAGGCCTATGGTGAACAAGGAAATATTTTCAGATAAAAACTGGAAAGAAGCATAATGAGAAACTGCTTTCTGATGTGTGCATTCATCTCACAGTGTGTAGTCATTGTTTTGATGGAACAGTTCAGATACTCTGGTTTTATAGAATCTGCAAAAGAATATACAGGAGCGTATTGAGGCCTCTGATTGAAAATGAAATATCTTCAGAGAAGAACTAGACAGAAGCTATTGGAGAAATTTCTTTGTGAGGTTTACATTCATCTCACAGAGTTAAAACTTTCCTTTGATTGAGCAGTTTGGAAACACTGTTTTTACAGAAACTGCGAAGGGATAATTGGGAGCGCACTGAGGCCTACATTGAAAAAGGCAATATCTTTGCATAAAAACTAGAAAGCTTTTTGGGAAACTGTTTAGTGAAGTGGGCACTCATCTCACAGAGTTTACCGTTTCTTTTGATGTAGCAGTTTGGAAACACTGTTTTTGCAAACTCTGTGAGGTGATACTTGATAGCACAAAAAAGACTCTGGTGAACAAGGAAATAACTTCAGATAAAAACTGGAAAGAAGCATTATGAGAAATTACTTTCTGGTGTGTGCATTCATCTCACAGAGTTAAACATTTCTTTTGATAGAGCAGTTTGAAAATATCGTTTTTGTAGAATCTGTGCAGGGATATTTGGAGGTGCAGTGAGGCCTTTGGAGGAAAAAGAACTATCCTCAGATTAAAAACTAGAAAGAAGCTTTTTGAGAAACTGCTTTGTGATGTGAGCATTCATCTCGCAGAGTTAAACCTTTCTTTTGATAGAGCAGTTAGGAAACACTGTTTTTGTATAATCTACAAAGTCAAATTTTTTAGCATAAAGAGGCCTATGGTGAAAAAGGAAATATTTTAGGATAAAAACTGGAAAGAAGCCTTCTGAGACACTGGTTTGTGATGTGTGCATTCATTTCACAGTGTTAAATCTTTCCTTAGATGGAGATATTTGGAAACACCCTTTTGGCAGAAACTGCAAAGAGTTATTTGGGAGCGCATTTCGGTCTACAGTGAAAAATGACATATCTCCAGATAAAAACCAGAAAGAGTCTTTCTCAGAAATTGATGTGAGCATTCATCTGACAGAGTGAAAACTTTCTTTTGATTGAGCACTTTGGAAAGAGTGTTTTGGTAGACTCTGTGAGGAGATATTTGGGAGCACATGGTGGCCTATGGTGAAAAAGGAAATAACTTCAGATAAAAACTACAAAGAAGCTTTCTGAGAAACCACTTTGTGATGTGTGCATTCTTCTCACATATTTAAACATTTCCTTTGATTGAGCAGTTTGGAAACACTATTTTTGTAGTATCTGCTATGGGATATTTGAAAGCACAGTTAGGCCTATGGTGAAAAAGGAAATATATTCCAATAAAAACTAGAATGAAGCTTATTGAATAACTCTTTTGTGGTGTGTCCATTCATCTCACAGAGGTAAACTTTTTTTTCACTGAGTAGTTTGGAAACACTGTTTTTGTATAATTTCTGAAGTGATCATTTGTAGCTCAAAAAAGCCAAGATTGAAAAACAAAATATCCTCATATCAAAACTGGAAAGAATGGTTGTGAGAAACTGCTTTCTTTTGTGTGTGCTCATCCAACAGAGTTAAGTCCTTCTTTTGATGGAACAGTTTGTAAACATTGTTTTTGTAGAATCTGTGAAGGCATATTTGGGAGCACATAGAGGTGTAAGCTGGAAAAGTAAATATCTTCATTGAAGAACTAGACAGAAGCTTTCTTTGAAACTCCTTCATGATGTGTGCATTCATCTCACAGAGTTAAGCATTTCTTCTGATTGAGCACTTTGCAAACACTGGTTTTGTAGAATCTGCGAAGGGATATTTGGGAGCACATTGAAGCCTAAGGTGAAAAAGGAAATATCTACAGAAAAAAACTAGAAAGAAACTTTTTGTGAAACTGCTTTGAGATGTGTGCTTTCATCTCACAGTATTAAAACTGTATTTTGATTAAGCTGTTTGGAAACCCTCTTTTTGTAGGATCTGCGAATGGATTGTTGGGAGCTCATAGAAGGCAATGGTGAAAAATGAAGTATCTTCAGATATAAACTACAAAGAAATTTTTGAGAAACTTTTTCAGATGTATGCATTCATCTCACAGAATTAAACATTTCTTTTGATACAGCAGTTTGGAAACACTGTTTTTGTATAATCTACAAAGTGATATTTGGGAGTTCAAAGAGGCCTATGGTGAAAAAGTAAATATCTTAATTTAAAAAGTGGAAAGAATCTTTCTGAGACACTGATTTGTGATGTCTGCATACATTTCACAGTGTTAAATCTTTCCTTTGCTTGAGCCGTTTGGAAACACCCCTTTGGCAGTATCTACGAAGGGTTATTTGGGAGCTCATTGAGGCCTATGCTGAAAAAGGTAATAATATCTCCAGATAAAAATTATAAAGGAGCTTTCAGAGAAACTACTTTGTGATGTGTGTGTTTGACTCAGAGAGTTAAAACTTTCATTTGCCTGAGCAGTTTGGAAACCCTTTTTTTTTTCTGAAAATCTGCAAAGCAATATAAGGCAACACAAAAAAGCCTATGCTGAAAAAGGAAATATCATCAGATAAACACTGGAAAGAAGCATTATGAGAAACTGCTTTCAGATGTGTGCATTCATCTCACAGAGTTAAGTCCTTCTTTTGATGGAACAGTTTGGAAACACTGTTTCTGCATAATCTGTGAAGCAATGTTTGGTAGCGCAAGATGGCTTATGGTGAACTGGAAATATCTTCAATAAAAACTGGAAGGAAGCATTATGAGAAACTGCTTTCTGATGTGTGCACTCATCTCAGAGAGTTGAATCATTGTTTTGGTGGAAGAGTTTGGAAACACAGTATTTATAGAATCTGTGAAGGGATACTCGGGAGCGCATTGAGGCCTATGGTGGAAAAGGGAATATCTCCAAAGAAGAACTATACAGAAGCTATCTGAGAAACTGCTTTGTGATGTGTGCATTCATCGCACAGAGTTAAACTTTTCTTTTGACTTAGCAGTTTGGAAACACAGTTTTTCTATAATCTAGGAAGTAATGTTACATATCCCAAAAAGGCCTATGGTGAACAAGGAAACATCTTCAGATAAAAACTGGAAAGGTGCATTAAGAGAAACTGCTCTCTGACATGTGCGTTCATCTCACAGTGTAAAATCCTTCCTTTGATGGAACAGATTGGAAAAGCTGTTTTCATAGAATTGGTAAAGGAATATTTGGAAGCACATTGAGGCATATGTTGGAAAAGGAAATATCTTCACAGAAGCAGCAGCTATCAGAGAAACTGCTTTATGATGTGTACATTCATCTGATATAGTTAAACATTTCTTTTGATTGAGCAGTTTGGAAACACTGTTTTTATAGAATCTGCAAAGGTATATTTGGGAGTGCACAGAGGCCTATATTGAAAAAGGAAATACATTCGGATTAAAACTAGAAAGAAGCTTATTGAGAAACTGCTTTGTGATGTATGCATTCACCTCACAGAGTTAAACCTGTTTTTTGATTGAACAGTTTGGAAACACTCTCTTTGTAGAATCTGAAACAGGATATTTGGGAGTGCATTGAAGCCTATGGCAGTAAAGGAAATCCCTTTGGATAAAAACTAGAAAGAAGTTTTTGAGAAACTGCTTTGTGATTTGGGCATTCATCTCACATAGTTAAACTTATCTTTTGACTGAGAGGTTTGGAAAAATTGTTTCTGCAAAATCTGTAATGCAATATAAGGTAGGAAAAAAAGCCTATTGTGAAAAAGGAAATATTTTCACATAAAAACAGGAAAGAAGCATTATAAGAAACTGCTTCTGATGTGTGCATTCATCTGACAGAGTTAAAACTTTCTTTTGATTGTGCAGTTTGGTTTTCAGACAAAAACTGTGCAGTTTTGATGGAACAGGTTCTACGCTGTTTTTGTAGAATCTGCAAGGGTATATTTGGGAGCCCACTGAGGCCTATGGTGGAAAAGAAAATATTTTTGGATAAAAACTTGAAAGAAATTTTTTGTGAAACTGCTTTGTTATGTGTGCACTCAACTCACAGAGTTAAATCTGGTTTTTGATTGAGCAGTTAAGAAACAATCTCTTTGTAGAATATGTGATTGGATATTTGGGAGTGCATTGAAGCCTATGGTGATAAATGAAATATCTTAGAATAAAAATTAGAAAGAAGCATTTTGAGAAAGTTCTTTGTGATGTGTACATTCATTTCACAGAGTTAAACCTTTCTTTTGACTGACCAGTTTGGAAACACTGTTTTTGCAAATCTGCAAAGCAATAATAGATACCGCAAAATAGCCCTTGATCAACACGGAAATATCTTCAGAAAAAAACTGGAAAGAAGCGTTATGAGAAACTGCTTTCTGAAGTGTGCATTCATATCACAGAGTTAAGTCCTTCTTTTGATGGAACAGTTTCTAAACACTTATTTTGTAGAATCTGCGAAGGGATATTTGGGAGCACATTGAGGCCTACAGTGGAAAAGGAAATATCTTCAGAGAACTAGACAGAAGTTTTATGAGAAATTGCTTTGTGATGTGTGCAGTCATCTCAGAGAGTTAAAAGTTTCTTTTGATTGAGCTGTTTGGAAACACTGTTTTTGTAGAATCTGTGGAGGGGCATTTGGGAGCACATTGAAGCCTATGGTGAAAAAGGAACTATCTTCGGTTGAAAACTAGGAAGAAGTATTTTGAGAAACTGCTTTGTGATCTGTGCATTCATCTCACAGAGCAAAACTTTTCTTTTGATTGAGCAGTTTGGAAACACCTTTTTTGTAGACTCTGTGAAGGGAAGTTAGGTAGTGCAAAAAGGCCTATGGTGAACAAGGAAATATCTTTGGGTAAAAACTGCAAAGAAATTTTATGAGAAACTGCTTTGTGCTGTGTGCAGTCATCTCACAGAGCTAAACCCTCTTTGGATTAAGCAGTTTGGAAACACAGTTTTTGTAGACCCTGCAAGGGGATATTTGTGAGCATATTGAAGTCTATAGTGAAAAAGAAAATATCCTCAGAGAAAAACTAGACAGAAGCTATCTGAAAAACTGCTTTGTGATGTGTACATACATCTCACAGAAGTAAACCTTTCTTTTGATTGAGCAGTTTGGAAACATCTTTTTGTAGAATCTGCAAAGCTATATTTGGGAGTGCAGAGGCCTATGGTAAAAAAGGAAATATCTTCAGATAAAAAATAGAAAGAAGCATTATGAGAAACTGCTTTCTGATATGTGCATTCATCTCACGGAGTTAAGTCCTTTTGATGGAACTGTTTGGAAACTCTGTTTTTGTACAATCTGTGAAGGGATTTTTGGGAGTATACATTTTTGGGAGGGCTATGGTGGAAAAGGAGCTATCTTCAGAGAAAAACTATACAGAAGCTATCTAAGAAACTGTGATGTGTGCATTCTTCTGACAGAGTAAAACCTTTCTTGTTATTTAGCAGATTGGAACACTGTTTTTGTAAATATGCAAATGTATAGTTTGGAGTGCACTGAGGCCTATGGAGAAAAAGGAAAATCTTCAAAACCTTTAGTTTTTATTTAAACTAAAAAGAAGCTTTTTAAGAAATGGCTTTGTGATGTGTGCATTTGACTCAAAGGAGATAATCTGTTTTCTGATTGAAGAGTTTGGAAACACTGTTTTTGTTGAATCTGTGACAGGATATTTGGGAGTGCATAGAAGCCTATGGTGATAAAAGAAATATATTCAGATAAAAATGAGAAATAAGCACTTTGAGAAACCACTTTGTGATGTGTGCATTCATCTGACAGAGTTAAAACTTTCTTTTGAATGAGCAGTTTGGAAACAGTGTTTTGCAAAATCTGTGAAGTGATATTTTGTAGTGCAAGAAAGCCTTTGGTGAACAAGGAAATACCTTCAGATAAAAAGTAGAAAGAAGCATTATGAGAAACTGCTTTCTGATGTTTGCATTCATCTCACAGAGTTAAGTCCTTCTCTTCATGGAAAAGTTTTGGAAACGCTTTTTTTTGTAGAATCTGAGAAGGGATATTTGGGAGTGCACTGAGGCCTATGGTGGAACATGAAATATATTCAGAGAAGAACTAGAGAGAAGATTTCTGAGAAACTGCTTTATGATGTATGCATGCAACTCATAGAGTTAACCCTTTCTTTTGATTGAGCAGTTTGGAAAAACTGTTTATGTGGAATCTGCAAAGTGATACTTGAGAGCTCATTGAAGCCTATGGAGAAAAAGGAAATATCTTTTGATAAAAACTAGAAAGAAGCTTATTGAGAAGCTGTTTGTTATGTATGCATCCATCTGACAGAGTTACAACTTTTTTTGATTGATCAGTTTGGAAACTCTACTTTTGTAGAATCTGTGAAGGGATATTTGGGAGTCCACGAGGCCTATGGTGAAAAAGGAAATAACTTCAAATAAAAACTAGAAAGAAGCTTTCTGAGAAACTGCTTTGTGATGTGTGCATTCTTCTTAAAGAATTAAACGTTTCTTTTGATTGAGCAGTTTGGAAATACTGTTTTTGTAGAATCTGCAAAGGGATATTTCAGGACCCAATGATGCCCAGGGTGAAAAAGGAAATATCTTCATTAAAATCTAGAAAGATTTTTGAGAAACTGCTTCGTGATGTATGCATTCATCTCACAGAGTTAAACCTTTCTTTTGGCTGAGCAGTTTGGAAACACTGTTTGTGTATAATCTGTGAAGAGATGTTAGGTAGCACAAAAAGGCCTATGGTGAACAAGTATATATCTTCAGATAAAAACTGGAAAGAAGCATTAGAAGAAACTCCTTTCTGATGTGGGTGTTCATCTCACAGAGTTAAATGTCTCTTGTTTGAACAGTTTGGAAACACTTTTTTTGCAGAGTCTGCGAAGGAATATTTGGGAGTGCATTTATGCCTATGGTGGAAAAGGAAATATCTTCAGAGAAGAACTAGACAGAAGCTTTCTGAAAAACTGCTTTATGATGTGTGTATTCATCTCACAGAGTTAAACCTTTCTTTTGTTTGAGCATTTTGGAGACCCTGTTTTTGTAGAATCTGCACAGATATAGCTGGGAGTGCACTGAGGCCTGTGGTGAAAATGGAAATATCTTCAGATAAAAACTAGAAAGAAGCTTTTTGAGAAATGTCTTGTGATGTGTGCATTTAACTGCAAGATTTAAACCTGTTTTTGATTGAGCAGATTGGAAACACTATTTTTTGTAGAGTGTGTGACAGGATATTTGGGAGAGCATTGAAGCCTATGGTGATAAAGAAAATATTTTCACATAAAAACTAGAAAGAAGCTTTTTGAGAAATTTCTTTGTGACGTGTGCATTTATCTCACAGAGTTAAACGTCTCTTTTGATTGATCAGTTTGGACACACTGTTTTTGTAGAATCTGCAAATGCATATTTGGGAGCACATTGAGGCCTATGGTAATAAAGGAAATACCTTTGGATAAAAACGAAAATGGAGCATAGTGAGAAACTGCTTTGTGTTGTGTGCATTGATCTCACAGAGTTAAACCTCTCTTTAGATTGATCAGCTTGTAAACACATTTGGTAGAATCTGTGAAGGGATATTTGTTAGCACACGAGGCCTATGGTGAAAAAGGAAATAACTTCAGATAAAAATCAGAAAGAAGCTTTCTGAGAAACTGCTTTGTGATGTATGCATTAATCTCATAGAGTTAACAATTTCTTTGATTGAGTAGTTTGGAAAAACTTTTTTTTAGAGCCTGCAGAGGGATATTTTGGAGCACACTGATCCTATGGTGAAAAAGGAAATGACTTCTGATAAAAACTAGAAAGAAGCTTTGTGAGAAACTGCTTGATGTTGCTTGCATTCATCTCACAGTGTTAAACTTTTCTTTTGACTGAGCAGTATGTACACACTCTTTTTGGATAATCTGTGAAGCCATGTTATGTAGCACTAAGAGGCCTATGGTGAACAAGGAAATATCTTTAGATAAAACCTGGAAAGAATCATTATGAGAAACTGCTTTCAGATTAGTGCTTTCATCTCACAGAGTTAAATCCTTCTTTCCATGAAACAGTTTGGAAATAGTGTTTTTGTAGAATAGGCAAAGGAATATTTGGGATCACATTGAGGCCTATGGTGGAAAATGAAATAACTTCAGAGGACAACTAGACAGAAAGATTCTGAGAAACTGCCTTGTGATGTGTGTATTCACCTCACAGAGGTAAACCTTTCTTTTGATGGAGCAGTTTGGAAAAAGTGTTTTGTAGAATCTGCCAAGGGATATTTGGGAGCACAAGAGGCCTTTGGTGGAAAAGGAAATTAATTCAGATAAAAACATGAAAGAAGTTTTCTGGGAAACAGTTTTGTAATGTGTGCATTCCTTTCACTGAGTTAAACATTTCCTTTGATTGATCAGTTTGTAAACACTGTATATGTAGAATCTTAAAAGAGTTATTTGAAAGCCACTGAGGCCTATGGTGAAAAAGAAATTTTCTTCGGATGAAAACTAGAAAGAAGCCTTCTGAGAAACTGTTTTGTGATGTGTGCATTCACTGCACAGAACTGAAACATTCTTTTGATTCAGTAGTTTGGAAACACTGTTTTTCTAGAATCTGCAAAGGGATATTTGGGAGCACAGAAGCCCTATGGTGAAAAGAGAAACAACTTTAGATAAACACTAGAAAGAAACTTTCTGAGAAACTGATTTGTGATGTATGCATTCATCTCACAAAGTTAAACTTTTCTTTTGACTGAGCAGTTTGGAAACACTTTTTCTGTATAATCTGTGAAGTGATGTTAAGTAGCCCAAAAATGTCCATGGTGCACTGGTAAATATCTTCAGAGAAAAACTGGAAAGAAAGGTTATGAGAATCTGCTTTCTGATGTGCATGTTCATCTCATAGAGTTAAGTCCTTCTTTTGATGGAACAGTTTGGAAACACTGTTTTTGTATAATCTGCAAAGGGATATTTGGGAACGCATTGAGGCATATGGTGGAAAAAGAAATGTCTTCAGAGAAAAACTAAACAGAAGCTTTTTTAGAAACTGCTTTGTGATGTTTGCATTCATCTCACAGAGTTTAAACTTTCTTTTGATTGAGCAGTTTGGAAATACTGTTTTTGTTGAATCTTCAAAGGGATATTTGGGAGCACACAGAAGCCTATGGTGAAAAAGGAATTATTTTCAGATAAAAACAAGTAAGAAGCTTTCTGAGAAACAGCTTTGTAATGTGTGCATTCATCTCAGAAAGTTAAAGATTTCTTTTGATTGAGGCATTTGGAAACACTGTTTTTGTAGAATCTGCAAAGGGATATTTGGGACACCACTGATGCTTATGGTGAAAAAGGAAATGTCATCAGTTAAAAACTAGAAAGAAGCTCTTTGAGAAACTGCTTTTTTAATGTATGCATTCATTTCACAGAGTTACACTTTTCTTTTGACTTAGTAGTTTGGAAACACTGTTTCTGTATAATCTGCAAAGTGATGTTGTGTTGTACAAAAAGGCCTATGGTGAACAAATTAATGTCTTCAGATAAAAACTGGAAGGAAGTGTTATGAGAAAATGCTTTCTGATGTGTGCCTTCACGTCACAGAGTTAAATCCTTCTTTTGATGGAAGTGTTCGGAAACCCAGTGTTTTGTAGACTCTGCAAAGAGACACTTGGGAGCACATTGAGGCCTATGGTGGAAAAGGAAATATCTATCTTCAGAGAATAACCAGACAGAAGCTGTCTGATAAACTGCTTTGTGATGGGTGCATTCATCTCACAGAGTAAAACCTTTCTTTTGATTGATTATTTTGAAAACACTGTTTTCGTAGAATCTGCGAAAGGATATTTCATAGTGCATTGAAGCCTATGATGAAAAAGGAAAGATGTTTGAATAACAACTAGRAAGAAGCTTTTTGAGAATCCGCTTTGAGATGCATGCATTCATCTCACAGAGTAAAACCTTTGTTTTTCCTGAGCAGTTTGGAAACACAGTTTTTTTAGAATCTGTGAAGGGATAATTGGGAGTGCACTGAAGCCTATGGTGAAAGAGGAAATATCTTTAGATAAAAATATGAAAGAAGATTCCTGAGAAACAGCTTTGTGATGCGTGCCTGCAACTCACAGAGCTAAACCTGTTTTTTGATTAAGCAGTTTATAAACACTGTTTTTGTAGCATCTGAGACAGGATATTAGGTAGCGCAAAGATGCCTATGGTGAAAAAGGAAGTATCTTCAGAAAAAAACCTGGAAAGACGCCTTCTGAGACACTGATTTCTGATGTGTGAATTCATTTAACAGTGTTAAATTTTTCCTTTGATGAAGACATTTGCAAGCACCCTTTGGCAGAATCTGCGAAGGCTTATTTTGGAGCACATTGAGGCCCACAGTGAAAAAGGAAATGACTCAAGTCAAAAAAAAAGAAAGAAGCTTTCTGAGAAACTGCTTTATGATRGGTCTGTTCATCTCACAGAGTTAAGTTCTTCTTTTGATGGAACAGTTTGGAAACACTGGTTTTGTAGAATCTGTGAAGGGATATTTGGGAGTACAGTAGGGACTATGCTGGAAAAGGAAATATCTTCAGAGAAGAACTAGACAGGAGGTATCAGAGAAACTGCTTTGTGATATGTGCATTCATCTCACAGAGTTAAACCTTTCTTTTGATTGAGCAGTTTGGAAACACGGTTTTTGTAGAAACTGGAAAGGAATATTTTGCAGCACTCTGAGGCCTATGGTGAAAAAGAAAATATCTTGGGATAAAAACTAGAAAGAAGCTTTTTAGGAAACTGATATGTAATGTGTGCATTAATATCACAGAGATAAAATTTTCTTTTAATGGAGCAGTTTGGAAAGACTGTTTTTGCAAAATCTGTGAAGTGATATTAAGTAGCATGCAAAAAAGACTATGGTGAACAAGGAAGTACCTTCAGATAAAAACTGGAAAAAAGTGTTATGAGAAACTGCTTTCTGATGTGTGCATTCATCTCACAGAAGTAAGTCGTACTTTTGATGGAACAGTTTGGAAGCACTGTTTTTGTAAAATCTGCTAAGGGATATATGGGAGCACACTGACACCTAGGGTGAAAAAGGAAATATCTTTGAATAAAAACTAGAAAGCAGCTTTTAGAGAAAATGATTTTTGATATGTGCATTCAATTCACAGAGTTAAAACTGTTTTTTATTGAGCAGTTTGGAACCTTTTTGTTTTAGAATCTGCAAAGGGATATTTGGGAGTGCACTGATGCCTATGATGAAAAATGGAATATCTTCGGATAAAAAATAGAAAGAAACTTTTTGAGAAACTGCTTTGTGTCGTGTGCATTTATCTCACAGAATTAAACCTTTCCTTTTACTGAGCTGTTTGGAAACGCTGTTTGGAAACACTGTTTTCGCAAAATCTGTGAAATGATATTAGGTATCTCAAAAAAGCCATTTGTGAAAAAATAAATATCTTCAGATAAAAACTGGAAAGAAGCATTATGAGAAACTGCTTTTTGATGTGTGTGCTCTTCTCACATAGTTAAATGCTTCTTTTGATGGAACAGTTTAGAAACAGGTTTTGTAGAATCTGCAAAGGGATATTTGTGAGTGCACTGAGGCCTACGCTGGAAAAGGAAATGTCTTCAGAGAAGAACTAGACAGAATCTTACTGAGAAGCTGCTTTGTGATGTGTGCATTCATCTCACAGAGTTAAACCTTTCTTTTGAAGGATCAGTTTGGAAACAATGTTTTTGTAGTATATGTGAAGAGATATTTGGGAGCACATTAAATCCTATGGTGATGAAGGAAAATCTTCAAATAAAAATAGAAAGAAGCTTTATGAGAAATGGCTTTGTGATGTGTGAATTCATCCAACAAAGTTAAACTATCCTTTGACTGAGCAGTTTGGAAACCTGTTTCTGTATGATCTGCGAAGTGATGATAGGTAGCACAAAAAGGCCTATGGAAAACAAGGTAATATCTTCAGATAAAAACTGGAAAGAAGCGTTAGGAGAAACTGCTTTCTGCTGTGCACATTCTCCTCAGGGAGTTAAATCCTTCTTTTGATGGAACAGTTCAGAAACTGTTTTTATAGAATCTGCAAAGGGATATTTGCAAGTGCATTGAGGCTTAAGGTGGAAAAGGAAATATCTCCATTGAAGAACTGGACAGAAGTTCCCTGAGAAACTGCTTTGTGTTGTGTGTATTCATATCACAGAGTTAAATCTTTCTTTGATTGAGCAGTTTGTAAAACGTGGTTTTGTAGAATCTGAGGAGGGACATTAGGGAGTGCATTGAAGCCTAAGGTGATAAATGAAATATCTTTGGATAAAAACTTGAAAGAAGCATTATGAGAAACTGCT
Organism: Homo sapiens; assembly: GCF_000001405.40. Taxonomy (NCBI): domain Eukaryota; kingdom Metazoa; phylum Chordata; class Mammalia; order Primates; family Hominidae; genus Homo; species Homo sapiens. The sequence continues at coordinate 39,287,979 of NC_000010.11, read as the reverse complement.
TTCTGATGTGTGCATTTATCTAACTCAGTTAAGTCCATCTTTTGATGGGACAGTTCTGAAACACTGTTTTTATACAATCTGGGAAGGGATATTTGGGAAAGCAATGAGGCATATAGTGGAAAAAGGAATATCTTCTGAGAAGAACTAGACAGAAGCTATCCAAGAAACTGTTCTGTCATGTGTGCATTCATCTCAGAGAGTTAAAAGTTTCTTTTGATTGAGCAGTTTGGAAACACTGTTTTTGTAGAATCTGCAAAGGGATATCTCAGAGTGCACTGAGGTCTATGGTGAAAAACGGAAAATCTACGGATAAAAATAGAAAGAAACTTTTTGAGAAACTGCTTTGTGATTTGGGCGTTCAACTCACAGAGTTAAACCAGTTTTTTGAGTGAGCAGTTTGGAAACAGTGTTTTGCAGAATCTGCGATGAGCTATTTCGCTGCACATTGAAGCCTACGATGATAAAAGAAATATCTTCAGATAAAAACTAGAAAGAATCTTATTGAGAAATTGCTTTGTGATGCGTACATTCATCTCACAGAGTTAAACCTTTCTTTGGACTGAGCTGTTGACTGTTTTTGAAAAATTTGCGAAGCAATATCATGTAGCGAAAAAAAGCCTGTGGTGAACAAGAAAATATCTTCTGACGAAAACTGGAAAGAAGCACTATGAGAAACTGCTTTCTGAAGTGTGCATTCGTCTCTCAGAGTTAAACCCTTCTTTTGATGGAACCACTTGGAAACACTGTTTTTGTAGAATCTGTGAAGTTATATTTGGGAGTGCATTGAGGTCTATGGTGGAAAAGGAAATATCTTCAGAGAAGAAGTAAACAGAAACTCTCTGAGAAACTGCTTTTTGATGAGTTCATACATCTCACAGAGGTAAAATTTTCTTTTCACTGAGCAGTTTGGAAAGACTGTTTTTGTAGAATCTGTGAAGGGATACTTGGGAGCACTTTGAAGCCAATGGTGGAAAATGAAAATAACATTGGAAAAAAAATAGAAAGAATACTTTTGAGAAACTGCTTTCTGATGTGCACATTCATCTCAGAGTTAAACCTTTTCTTTGATTGACCAGTTTGGAAACTGCAAAGTTGTAGAATCTGCAAAGGGATATTTGGGAACATACAAGGCCTATGATGAAAAAGGAAATAACTTTAGATAAAAACTAGAAAGAAGCTTTCTGAGGAATCACTTTGTGATGTGAGCATTCTTCTCACAGGGCAAAACGTTTCTTTTGGTTGAGCACTTTGGGAACACTGTTTATGTAGAATCTGCAAAGGGATACTTGGGAGCAAACTGATGCCTATGGTGAAAAAGGAAATATCTTTGGATGAAAACTAGAAAGAAGCTTTTTGAGAAATTGCTTTGAGATGTATGCATTCAACTCACAGAGTTAAAATTTTCTTTTCACTGAGCAGTTTGGAAACACTGTTTTTGTATAATCTGTGAAGCGATGTTTTGTTGCACAAAAGGCCTATGGTGAACAATGAAATAGCTTCAGATAAAAACTGGATAGAAGCGTTATGAGAAGCTGCTTTCCAATGTGTGCATTCATCTCACAGAATTAAATACTTCTTTTGATGTAACAGTTCAGAAACACTGTTTTTATACAATCTGCAAAGTTATACATAGGAGCACATTGAAGCCTATGGTGAAAATGGAAATATCTTCACATAAAAACAGGAAAGAAGGTTTCTCAGAAACTGCTTTCTGATGGATGCATTCATCTTACAGTATTAAAACTTTCTTTTGATTGATAGGTTTGGAAGCACATTTTTGGTAGAATCTGTGAAGGGATATTTGTGAGCACATGTGGCCTATGGTGAAAAAGGAAATAACTTCAGATTAAAAAAAGAAAGGAGATTTCTGGGAAACCACTTTGTGATGTGTGCATTCATCTCACACAGTAAAGCCTTTCTTTTCATTCAGCAGTTTGTAAACAATGTTTTTGTACAATCTACTCAGGGATATTTGGGAGTGCATTGAGGCCTATGGTTAAAAGAAGCATGTTCAGATAAAAACAATAAAGAAGCTGTCTGAGAAATTGCTTTGTGATGTGTGCATTCATCTCATAGAGTTAACCTTTCTTGGGATTCAGCAGTTTGGAAACACTGTTTTTGTCCMTTCTGCAAGTCTACATTTGGGAGCTCATTGAGACCAAAGAGACAAAGCAAATATGCCAGGATAAAAACTAGTAGGAAGCTATCTGAGAAACCACTTTGTGATGTGTGCATTCACCTGACAGAGCTAAAACTTTCTTTTCATTAAGCAGTTTGGAAACACTGTTTTTTAGAATCTGCCAAGGGATATTTGGGAKTGTATTGAGGCCCATGAGAAAAAAGGAAACATCTTCAGATGAAAAGTAGAAAAAAATTTCTGAAAAACTGCTTCACGTTGTGTTCATTCAGCTCAGAGAGTTAAACCCGTCTTTGGATTCAGCAGTTTGGAAACACTGTGTTTGTCCTTTCTGTGAATGGACATTTGGGAGCTCATTGAGGCCAATGGTGAAAAAGTGACTATTCCAGAATATAAACTAGAAGGAAGCTATCTGATAAACCACTTTGTGGTGTGTGCATTCATTTCACAGAGGTTAACCTTTCTTTTCATTGAGCAGTTTGGAAAGATTATTTTTTTAGAAGTTGTGAAGGCATATTTGGGAGCTCATAGAGGCCCATGGTGAAACAGGAGACATCTTCAGAAAAAAACTTGAAAGAAAAATTCATAGAAACTACTTTGTGATGTTTGCATTCATCTCCCAGAGTTAAACCTTTCTTTGGATTCACTTTTTTGGAAACACTGTTTTTGTCCATTCACAGAATGGACATTTGGGAGCTCACTGAGGCAACTGGTGAAAAGGGAATATTCCAGGATAAAAACCAGAAGGATACTACCTGAGAAAACGATTTCTGATGTGGGTATTCATCTCACAGAGGAAAATCTTTCATTTCCTTCATCAGTTGGGAAACACTGTTTTTGTAGAATGTGTGAAGGGGTATTTGGAAGCACTTTGAGGCCGATGGTGAAAAAGGGAACATATTCAGATAAAAACTAGAAAGAAACTCTCTGAGAAACTGCTTTGTGATGAATGCATTCATCTCACAGAGTTAAACCTTCCTTGGGATTCAGCAACTTGGAAACACTGTTTTTCTAGAATCCGCAAAGGGATATTTTGGAGAGCAATGAGGGCTATGGTGGAAAAGGATACATCTTCAGATAAAAACTAGAAAGAAACATCTTCAGAAAAATACTAGAAAGAAGCTTTCTGAGAAACTGCTTTGTGACGTGTGCATTTATCTCACAGAGTTAATCCATTCTTTGTATTCAGTAGCTTGGAAAGTGTTTTTGTCCATTCTGTGAATGGACATTTCAGAGCTCATTGATGCCAATGGTGAAAAAGTGAATATCCCAGGATAAAAACTAAAAGGAAGCTATCTGAGAAACCGCTTTGTGATGTGTGCATTCATCTCACATAGTTAAACCTTTCTTTGTAATCAGCAGATTGAAAACACTGTTTTCGTCCATTCTGCATATGGACATTTAGGAGTTAATTGAGGCCAATGGCGAAAAAGCAAATATCCCAGGAAAAAACTGGACTGAATCTATCTTAGAAACTGCTRTGTGAGGGATACAGTCATCTCACAGAGTTAATCCTTTTTTTGTGTTCAGCAGTGTGGAAACACTGTTTTTGTCCATTCTGTGAATGGAAATTATGGAGCTCATGGAGACCAATGGTGAAAAAGCCAATATCCCAGGATAAAAACTAGGAGAAAGCTATCTGAGAAAGTGCTATGTGATGTGTGCATTCACCTCTCAGAGGCAAACCCATCTTTTCATTCAGCAGGTAGGAAAAACTGTTTTTGTAGAATATGAAAAGGGATATTTCAGAGAGCATTGAGGCCTATGTTGAAAAAGGAAACATCTTCACATAAAAACTAGAAAGAAGCTTTCTGAGAAACTACATTGTGATGTTTGCATTCATCTCACAGACTTAAACCTTTCTTTCAATTCTGCAGTTTGGAAACAATGTTTTTGTCCATTCTGCAAATGGATATTTGGAGCTCTTTGAGGCCAATGGTGAAAAAGAAAATATCCCAGTATAAAAACTAGAAGGAGGCTATCTGGAAAACCGCTTTGTGATGTGTGAATTTATTCACAGAGTTAAACCTTTCTTTTCATTCAGCATTTTGGAGACACTGTTTTTGTAGTATCTACAAAGGGATATTTCAGAGAGCCTTCAGGCCTATGGTGAAATAGGAAACATCTTCAGATGACAACTACAAAGAAGCTTTCTGAGAAACTACTTCATGATGTGTCCATTCACCTTACGGAGTTAAACTCTTCTTTGGATTCAGGAGTTTGGAAACACTGTTTTTGTCCCTTCTGTGAATGGACATTTGAGAGTTCATTGGCCCCAATGGCAAAAAAGTGAATGTCCCAGGATTAAAAACTAGAAAGAAGCTATCTGAGTAACTGTTGTGTGATGTGTGCATTCATCTCACAGAGTTAAACATTTCTTTTCATTCAGCAGTTGGAAACACTGCTTTTACAGAATCTGTAAAGGGATATTTCGGAGAGCATTGTGGTCTACAGTGCAAAAGGAAACATCTCAGGTAAAAATGAGAAATATGCTTTCTGAGAGACTATTTTGTGCTGTGTCCATCATCTCACAGATGTAAACCTTCTTTGGATTCAGCAGTTTGGAAACACTATTTCTGCCCATTCTGTGAAGGACATTTGGGAGCTCTTTGAGGCCAGTGTTGTAAAAGTTAATATAGCAGGATAAAAACTACACCAATGACATATGAGAAACAGCTATGTGATGTGTGCATTCATCTCACAGATTGAAACCAACTTTTCATTCAGCAGTTTCGAAAGACTGTTTTTTTAGAATCTGTAAAATGATATTTCAGAGAGCATTGAGGCCTATGGTGAGATAGGAAACATCTTCTGATAAAAACTAGTAAGAATCTTTCAGAGAAACCGCTTTCTGATGTGCGCATTCATCTCACAGAGTTAAAACTTTTCTTTCATTCAGCAGTTTTGAGACACTGTTTTTGTAGAATCTGCAAAGGGATACTTTGGAGAACATTCAGGCCTCTGGTGAAAAAGGAAACATCTTCAGATAAAATCTTGAAAGAAGATTTCTAAGAAACTGTATGTGATGTGTGCATTCATCTCACAGTGTTAAAACTTTCTTTCGATTCAGCAGTATGGAAACTCAGTTTTTGTCCATTCTGCGAGTGGATATTTAGGAGCTTATTGAGGCCAATAGTGAAAAAGTGAATATCCCAGGATAAAAACTTGAAGGAAACTATGTGAGAAACCGCTTTGTGATGTGTGCATTCATCTCACAGAGTTAAAACTTTCTTTTCATTCAGAAGTTTTGAAACACTGTTTTTGTAGAATTTGCAAAGGGATATTTCAGAGAGACTTGAGGCATGAGTTAAAAAAGAATCATCTTTAGAAAAACTAGAAAGAAGATTTCTGAGAAACTTCTTTTTGATGTGTGCATTCATCTTGCAGATGTAAACATTTCTTTTCATTCAGCAGTTTGGAAACACTGTTTTTTTCCATTCTGCAAATGGACATTTGGGAGCTCTTTGAGGCCAATGGTGAAAAAGCCAATATCCCAAGATAAAAACTAGACAAAATCTACCTGAGAAATGCTGTTATGTGTGCATTTCTCACATGGAGTTAAATATTTCTTTTCATTCAGCAGTTTGGAAAGAGTGTTTTTGTAGAATCTGCAAAGGGATATTTTGGAGAGCATTGAGACCAATATTGAAAAAGAAAACATCTTCTCATAAAAACTAGAAAGAATCTTCTTGATAAATGCTATGTTATGTGTGCTTTTATCACACAGAGATAAATCTTTCTTTTCATTCAGCAGTTTGCAAAGATTGCTTTTGTAGAATCTACAAAGGGATATTTTGGAGAGCATTAAGGCTAATGTTGAAAAAGGAGACATCTTCAGATAAAAACTAGAAAGAATCTTTCTGAGAAACTGCTCTGTCATGTGTGCGTACATCTCACAGAGTTAAACATATCCTTGGATTCAGCAGTTTGGAAACACTGTTTTTGTCCATTCTGTGATTGCATATTTGGGAGCTCGTTGAGGCCAATGGCAAAAAAACAAGTATCCCATGATAAAAACTAAAAGGAAGCTATCTGAGAAACCGATTTGTGATGTGTGCATTCATCTCAAAGCGTTAAAATTTTCTTTGGATTCAGCAATTTGGAAACACTGTTTTTGTCCATTCTGTGATTGGATATTTGGGAGCTCGTTGAGGCCAATGGCAAAAAAACAAGTATCCCATGATAAAAACTAAAAGGAAGCTATCTGAGAAACCGATTTGTGATGTGTGCATTCATCTCAAAGCGTTAAAATTTTCTTTGGATTCAGCAATTTGGAAACACTGTTTTTGTCCATTCTGTGAATGGAAATTTGGGAGTTCATTGAAGGAATTGCAAAAAAGGAAATATCCCAGGAACAAAACAAGAAGGAAGCTATCTGAGAAACAGGTTTGTTATTTGTGCATTTATCCCACAGAGGTAAGTATTTCTCTTCATACAGCAGTTTGGAAACAGTGTTTTTCTAGAATCTGCAAAAGTATATTTCGGAGACATTGAAACCTATGGTGAAAAAGGAAATAACTTCACATAAAAACTAGAGAGATGCCTTATAAGAAACCTCTTTATGATATATGTTTTCATCTCATAGAATTAAACCTTTCTTTTCATTCAGCAGTTTGGTAAAACTGTTTTTGTAGAATCTGCAAAGGGATATTTCAGAGAACATTGATGCCTATGGTTAAATGAAACATCTTCAGATAAAAACAAGAGAGAAGCTTTCTTTGTATCTGCTTTTTTATGTGTATTCGTCTCACAGAGTTAAAACTTTATTTGGACTCAGCCATTTAGAAGCACTGATTTTTTTCCATTCTGCAAATGAACATTTGGGAGCTCCTTGAGGCCAATGGTGAAAAAGTGAATATCCCAGGGTATAAAGTAGACAAGAGCTTTCTGAGAAACTGCTATGTGATGTGTGCATTCATATTGCAGAGTTAAATTTTTCTTTTCATTCAGCAGTTTGGAAACACTGTTTCTGTAGAATCTGCAAAGAGATATTTTGGATAACCTTGAGGCTTGTGGTGTAAAAGAAAAATCTTCAGATAAAAACTAGAAAGAAGCTTTCTGAGAAACTGCTTTCTGATACGTGCATTCATGTCATGGAAAGAAACCTTCCTTTGGATTCAACAGTTTGGCAACACTGTTTTTGTACAATCTGCAAAGGTATAGTTCAGAGAGCATTGAGGTCTATGGTAGAAAAGGTAACATCTTCAGATAAAATCTAGAAAGAAGATTTCTGTGTAACTGATTTGTGATGTCTGCATTCATCTCAGACAGTTAAACCTGTCTTCGGATTCAATATTTGGAAACACTGTTTGTGTCCATGCTATGAATGGACATTTGGAAGCTCATTGAGGCCAATGGTGAAAAATGAATATTACAGGATAAAAACTGAAAGGAAGCCATCTGAGAGACTGCTTTGTGATGTGTGCATTCATCTCACAGAGTTAAACTTTCTCTTTTCATTCACTGGTTTGGAAACACTGTTCTTGTCCATTCTGTGGATGGACATTTGGAAACTCACTGAGGACAATGAGGAAAAAGTGAATATTTCAGGACAAAAAGTAGACAGAAGATATCTGAGAAACTGCTATGTGATGTGTGCATTCAACTCCCAGAGTTAATCCTTTCTTTGGATTCAGCAGATTGGAAACACTGTTTTTGTAGAATCTGCAAAGAGATATTTCTGAGAGCTTTGAGGTCTTTGGTGAAAATCTAAACATCTTCAGATGAAAACTAGAAAGTAGCTTTCTGAGAAACTACTTTGTGATGTGTGCATTAATCTCCCAGAGTTAAAGCTTTATTTTGATTCAGCAGATTGGAAACACTGTTTTTGTCCATTCTGCAAATGGACTTTTGGGAACTTATTAAGGCCAAAAAAGAGAATATCATGGTATAAAAACTAGAAGGAAGCTCTCTGAGAAACCTCTTTGTGATGTGTGCATTCATCCACAGAGAAACATTTCATTCAGCAGTTTGGAAACACTGTTTTTGCAGAATCTGCAAAGGGATATTTTGGAAAGCATTGAGGCTTATGTTGAAAAAGGAAACATCTTGAGATAAAAACTAGAAAGAAGCTTCCTGAGAAACTGGTTTGTGTTGTGTGCATTCATCTCACAGAGGTAAACCTCTCTTTGGATTCAGCAGTTTGGAAACACTGTATTTGTTCATACTGTGAATGTACTTTTGGGAGTTCCTTGTGGCTAATGGTGAAAAAGTGAATATAACAGGATAAAATCTAGAAGGAATCTTTCTGAGAAATGGCTTTGTGTTGTGTACATTCATCTCGCAGAATTAAAGCTTCCTTTTCATACAGCAGTTTGGAAACAGTGTTTTTGTAGAACCAGCAAAGGGATATTTCAGAGAGCACTGAGGTTTATCATGAAAAAGGAAATATCTTCTGATAAAAACTAGAAAGACACTTTCTGAGAAACTGCTTTCGGCTTTGTGCATTCATCTCACAGAGTCAAAACTTTCTTTGGATTCAGCAGTTTGGAAACACTGCTTTTGTCCAATCTTGGAATGGATATTTTGACTTTACTGTGGCCCATGGGGAAGAGAAAATATCCCAGGATAAAAAGTACGTGGAAGCTACCTGAGAAACTGTTATGTGATGCGTGCATTCTTCTTGCACAGTTAAATATTTCTATTCATTCAGCAGTTTGGAAACACTGTTTTTGTAGCATCTGCAAAGGGATATTTTGGATAGCATTGAGGCCTATGGTAAAAAGGAGATACCTTCAGGTAAAAACTAGCAAGAAGCTTTCTGAGAAACTGCTTTGTGATGTGTGCATTCATCTCACAGAGTTAAACATTTCTTTGGATTCAGCAGTATGGAAAGGCTGTTTTTGTCCATTCTGTGAATGGACATTTGAGGGCTCTTTAAGGCTAGTGTCAAAGAAGGAATTATCCCAGGGTAGAAACTAGAAGGAAGCTATCTGAGGAACTCCTTTGTGATGTGTGCATTCATCTCACAGAGTTAAAAGTTTATTTTCATTTAGCAGTTTGGAAACAATGGTTTTGTAGAATCTGCTATGGGATATTTGGGAGTGCATAGAGGCCTCTGTTGAAAAAGGAAACATCTTCAGTTAAAATTTAGAAAGAACCTCTCTGAAAAACTGCTTTGTGATGTGTGCCTTCATCTAACAGAATTAAACCATTTCTTTTGTTCAGCAGTTTGGAAAAATTCTTTTTGTCCATTCTGTGAATAGATATTTGGGAGCTCAATGAAGGCAATGGTGAAAAAGTGAATATCCCAGCACAAATACTAAAAGGAAACTATCCGAGAACCTGCTTTGTGATATGTGCATTCATCTCACAAGGTTAAAACTTTCTTTTCATATGGCAGGTTGGAAAAACTGTTTTTGTAGAATCTGCAAAGGAGTATTTAGCAGCAAATTGAGGCCTAGGGTGAAAAAGGAAATATCTTCAGATAAAAACTGAAAAAAATGTTTCTGAGAAACTGCTTTGTGATGTGTGCATTCAACTCTCACAGTTATACTTTTCTTTTGATTCAGCAGTTTGGAAATACTGTTTTTGTCCATTATGCAAATGGATATTTGGGAGCTCATTGAGGCCAATGGGAAAAAAGTGAATATCCCAGGATAAAAGCTAGAAGGAATCTATCTGAGAAACCGCTTTGGGATGTGTGCATTCATCCTGCAGAGTTAACCATTTCTTTTTATTCAGCATTTTGGAGACACTGTTTTTGTAGAATCTGCAAAGGTATATTTGGGAGTATATGGATGCGTACCATCAAAAAGGAAACATCTTTGGATAAAAACTAGAAAGAAGCTTTCTGATAAACTGCTTTGTGATGTTTGCATTCATCTCACATAATTAAACCTTTCTTTGGATTCAGCAGTGTGGAAACACTGTTTATGTCCATTCTGCGAAACTACATCTTGGAGCTCATTGAGGCCAGTGGTGAAAAAGCAAATATCCCAGCATAAAAACCGCAAGGATGCTATCTGATAAACCGATTTGTGATCTGTTCATTGATCTCACAGACTTAAAACTTTCTTTTCACTCAGCCATTTGGAATACCCATTTTTGTAGAATCTGCAAAGCAATATTTGGGAATGCATTGAGGCCTATGGTGAAAAAGGAAACATCTTCAGATAAAAACAAGAAAGAAGCTCTGTGAGAAAGTGCTTTGTTATGTTTCTATACATCTCACAGAGTTAAACCTTTCCTTGGATTCAGCTGTTTGAAAATAATGTGCTTTTCCATTCTGTGAATGGACTTTTTGGAGTTCATTGAGGCCAATGGAAAAAAATCGAATATTACAAGTTAAAAACTAGAAGGACAGTATCTATGAAGCGGCTTTGTGATGTGTGCATTTATCTCACAGAGGAAAACCTGTCTTTTCATTCAACACTTTGGAAAGAATGTTTCTTGTCAAATCCATGAGGGGATATTTGGGAGTGCAATGAGGCCTATTGTGTAAAATAAAATATCTTCAGATAAAAACTAGAAAGAACCTTTCTGAGAAACTGACCTGTGATGTGTGCATTCATCTCACAGACTTAAAGCTCTCTTTGGAATCAGCAGTTTGTAAACACTGTTTTTGTCCATGCTGCAAATGGAAATTTGGGAGGTCTTTGAGGCCAATGGCAAATAACTGAATATCCCAGGATCAAAACTACAAGGAAGCTATCTGAGGAACTGCTTTGTGTTGTCTGCATTCCTCTCACAGGATTAAATATTCTTTTCATTCAGCAGTTTGGAAACACTGATTTTGTAAAATCTGTGAAGGGAAGTTTGGGAGTGCATTGAGGCCTATGGTGAAAAAGGAAACGTCTGACAAAAATTAGCAGGAAGCTTTCTGAGAAACTGCTTTGTGATGTGTGCATTCATCTCACAGTTTTAAACCTTTCTTTTCTTTCAGCAGTTTGGAAGCATTGTTTTTGTAGAATCTGCAAAGGGATATTTCTGAGTGCATTGAGGCCCATGATGAAAAAGGAAACCACTTCAGGTAAAAACTACAAAGAAGGTTTCTGAGAAACTTCTTTCTGATGTGTGCATTCATCTCACTGAGTTAAACCATTCTTTGGATTCAGTATTTTGGAAACACTGTTTTTGTCCATTCGGTGAATGAACATTTGGGAGCTCTTTGAGGCCAAAGGCGAAAAAGATAATATCCCAGGCTAAAAACTACAAAGAAGCAATCTGAAAAACTGCTTTGTGATGTGTGCATTCATCTCACAGAGTTAAAATTTCCTTTGCATTCAGTAGTTTGGAAACACTGTTTTTATAGAATCTGCAAAGGGATAGTTCAGAGAAACTTGAGGCTTATGGTGAAATAGGAAACATCCACAGATAAAAACTAGGAAAATACTTTCTCAGAAACTGCTTTTTTATGTATGCATTCATCTCACAGATTTAAACCTTTCTTTGGATTCAGCAGTTTGGAAACAAGATTTTTTTCCATTTTGCCAATGGATATTTGGGAGATATTTGAGGCCAAAGGGGAAAAAGTGAATATCCTAGGATAAAAACTAGATTCTATAAGCTATCTGAGAAACTGCTTTGGGATATGTGTATTCATCTGAAGAGTTAACCCATTCTTTTCATTCAGCAGTTTGGAAAGACTGTTTTTGTAGAATCTGTGAAGCGATATTAGGGAGTACATAGATGCACATGGTGAAAAAGGAAACATCTTCAGATTAAAACTAGTAAGAAGCTTTCTGATAAGCTGCTTTGTGATGTGTGCATTCATCTCACATAATTAAACTTTTCTTTGTATTCAGCAGTTTGGAAACACTGTTTATGTCCATTCTGTGATAGGACATCTTGGAGCTCATTGAGGCCAGTGGTGAAAAAGCAAATATCCAAGGATAAAAACTACAAGGAAGCTATCTGAGAAACCGATTTGTGATGTGTGCATTGATCTCAAAGAGTTAAAGCTTTCTTTTCACTCACCAGTTTGGAATAACGGTTTTTGTAGAATCTGTGAAGCAATATTTGGGAATGCATTGAGGTCTATGGTGAAAAAGGAAACATCTTCAGATAAAAACAAGAAAGAAGCACTGTGAGAAAGTGCTTCATTATGTATCTATACATCTCACAGTGTTAAACCTTTCTTTGGATTCAGCAGTTTGGAAAGAGTGTTTTTGTCCATTCTGTGAATGGACATTTGGGAGCTCATTGAGACAAATCACGAAAAAGAAAATATCCCAGGACAAAAACCAGAAGGAAGCTATCTGAGAAACTGCTTTGTTTTGTGTGCATTCATCTCACTGAGTTAAATCTTTCTTTTCATTCAGCAGTTTGGAAAAACTGTTTCTATAGAATCTGAAAAGGGATATTTGGGTGCACATTGAGACCTATAGAGAAAAAAGAAACATATTCAGATAAAAACTAGAAAGAAGCTTTCTGAAAAACTGCATTGTGATGTGTGCATTCATCTCACAGAGTTAAACACTTCTTTCAATTCAGCAGTATGGAAAGACTGTTTTTGTCCATTCTGTGAATGGACGTTTGAGAGCTCTTTGAGGCCAACTTCAGAAAAAGGAATATCCCAGGGTACAAACTAGAAGGAAGCTATCTGAGGAAACGTTTTTGATGTGTGCATTCATCTCACAGAGTTAAAACTTTCTTTTCATTTAGCAGTTTGGAAACAATGGTTTTGTAGAATCTGCTATGTTACATTTGGGAGTGCATAGAGGCCAATGTTGAAAAAAGGAAACAATTTCAGATTAAAATTAGAAATAACCTTTCTGAGAAACTGCTTTGTGTTGTGTCCATTCATCTAACATAATTAAATCTTTCTTTTGTTCATCACTTTGGAGAAATTATTTTTGTCCATTCTACAAATAAACATTTGGGAGCTCAATGAAGCTCATTGTCAAAAGCTAATATCTCAGCATAAATACTATAAGGATGCTATTTGAGAATCCACTTTGGGATGGGTGCATTTAACTCACAGTGTTAAACCTTTCTTTTCATTCAGCTGTTTGGAAAGACTGTTTTTGTACAATCTGCAAAAGGATACTTGAGAGAGCATTGAGGCCTACAGTGAAATAGGCAACACCTTCAGATAAAAACTAGAAAGAAGCTTTCTGTGAAATTACTTTGTGATGTGGACGTTCAAATCACAGAGCTAAACCCTTCTTTGGACTCAGGAGTTTGGAAAAACTGTTTTAATCCATTCTGCAAATTGACATTTTGGAGATCACTGAAGACAATGGCAAAAAAGCAAGTATCCCAGGATAAAAACGCGAAGGAAAGTATCTGAGAAACTGCTTTGTGATATGGGCACTCATCTCACAGAGTTAAACCTTTCTCTTCATTCAGCAGTTTGGAAACACTGTTTTTGTCCATTCTGTGAATGACCATTTGGGATCTCATTGAGATCTACGGGGAAAAAACATATATCCCAGGATAAAAAGTCGATGGAAGCTATCTGAGAAACTGTTATGTGATGTGTGCATTCATCCCATAAAGTTAAACCATTCTTTAGATTCAGCTGTTTGGAAACATTGTTTTTGTCCATTCGCGGAATGGACAATTGGGAGAACATTGGGGCCAAAGGCAAAAAATGGAATATCCCAGGATTAAAACTAGAAGGCAGGTATCTGATAAGCCACTTTGCAATGTGATCATTCGTTTCACCGAGTTAAACCTTTCTTTTTGGAGCTCACTGAGGCCTATGGGGAGAAAGCAGATATCCCAGGATAAAAAGTAGATGGAAGCTATTTGAGAAACCACTTTGTGATGTGTGCATTCATCTCACAGAGTTAAACCTTACTTTTCATTCCGCAGTTTGGAAACACTGTTTTTGTAGAATCTCCAAAGGGATATTTCACAGAGCATTGAGGACTATGGTGAAAAAAGAAATATCTTCAGATAAAAATTAAAAAGAAGCTTTCTGAGAAACTGCTTTGTAATTTGTGCATTCATGTCGAGGAATTAATCTTTTCTTTCCATGCAGTAGTTTGGAAAGAGAGTTTTTGTTCATTCTGTGAATTGACAGATGGGAACTCATTGAGGCCCATGGCAAAAAAGCGAATATCCCAAGAGAAAAACTAGATGGAAGCTATCTGAGAAACTGCTATGTGATATGTGCATTCATCTTGCAGAATTAAAACTTTCTTTTCAATCAGCAGTTTAGAAATACAGTTTTAGTAGAATCTGCAAAGGGATATTTGGGAGATCATTGAGGCCTATGGTGAAAAAGGAAATATCTTCAGATAAAAACTAGAAAGTTTTCTGAGAAACTGCCCTGTGAAGTGTGCATTCATTAACCTTTCTTTGAATGCAGCAGTTTGGGAACAGTGTTTTTGTAGAATCTACAAATGGATGTTTCAGAGAGAATTGAGGTCTACGGAGAAAAAGGAACCATGTTCAGATAAAAAGTAGAAAGAAGCTTTCTGAGAAACTACTTTGTGATGTGTGCATTCATCTCACAGAGTTAAACTTCCCTTTGGATGCACCAGCTTGGAAAGAGTGTTTTTGTAGTATCTTCAAAGGGATGTTTTGGGAAGAATTCAGGCCTATGGTGAAAACGGAAACATCTTCAGATAAAAACTACAAAGAAGCTTTCTGGGAATCTGCTTTGTGATGTGTGCTTTCATGTCACAGACTTAAATATTTTTCGGATTCTGTACTTTCAAAACACTGTTTTTTCCAATCTACGAATGGACATTTGCTGCTTCACTGAGGCCAATGTTGAAAAATCAAACATAGCAGGATAAAAACTAGGAGGAAGCTATCTGAGAAACTGCTGTGTGTTGTGTGCGTTCATCGAACAGAGTTAAACCTTTCTTTTCATTCAGCACTCTGGAAACACTGTTTTTGTAGTATCTGCAAAGGGATATTTGAAAGAGCATTTAGGCCTAAGGTGAAAAAGGAAAAATATTTAGATAAAAATTAGAAAGAAGCTTTCTGAGAGACTGCTTTGTGCTATGTGCATTCATCTCACAGAGTTAAACCTTTCTTTTGAGTCAGTCATTTGAAACACTATTTTTGTCCCTTCTGGGAATGGACAATTGGGAGTTCATTGAGGCCAATGGCAAAAAAGTGAAATATCCCAGGATAAACCCAAGTGGAAACTATGTGAGAAACTACTATGTGATGTACATATTCATCTCACAGAGTTAAACCTTTCTTTTCATTCAGCAGTTTGGAAACAGTGTTTTTGTAGAAGCTGCCAGGGGACATTTCGGAGAGCATTGAGGACTATGGTCAAAAAGGAAATATCTTCAAATAAAAACTAGAAAGAATCTTGCTGAGAAACTGTTTTGTGGTGTGGGCATTCATCTCACAGAGTTAAACCTTTTTTGGATTCAGCAGTTTGGATACACTATTTTTTAGAATCTCCAAAGGGATATTTCCCAGAGCATTGAGGCCTGTGGTGAAAGAGGAAACACCTTCATATAAAAACTAGAAAGCAGCTTTCTGAGAAACTGCTTTGTGATGTGTGCATTCATCTCACAGACTTAAACGATTCTTTGAATTCAATAGTTTGCAAACACTGTTTTTTTCCATTGTGCAAATGAACATTTGGGAGCTCACTGAGGCTAATTGTGAAAATGTGAATATCGTAAGATAAAAACTAGAAGGAAGCTATCTGAGAATCGCTTTGTGATGTGTGCATTCATGTCACAGAGGTAAACCTGTCTTTGGATTCAGTAGTTTGGGAAACACTGTTTTTCTAGAATCACCAAAGGGATATTTAGCAAAGCATTGGCACCTACTGTTAAAAATGAAACATCTTAGGTAAAACTAGAAAGAAGTTTTCTTAGAAACTGCTTTCTGAAGTGTGCATTCATCTCACAAAATTAAACCTGTCTTTGGAACAGCAGTTTGGAAACACTGTTTTTCTAGAATTGGAAAACAGGTATTTTGAAGAGCATTGAGGCCTATGGTGAAAAAGGAAACATCTTCAGATAAAAACTATAAAGAAGCATTCTAAGAAATTGCTTTGTAATGTGTGCATTCATCTCAGAGAATTAAAGCTGTCTTTGGATTCAGTAGTTTGGAAACACTGTTTTTGTAGAATCTGAAAACAGATATTTCAGAGAAAATTGAGGCCTCTGGTGAAAAAGGAAACATCTTCAGATAAAAATAGAAAGAAGCTTTCTGAGAAACTGCTTTGTGATGTGTGCATTCATCTCACAGAGTTAAACATTTCTTTGGATTCAGCAGTTTGGAAATGATGTTTTTGCAGAATCTCAAAAGGGATATTTCAGAGAGCATTGAGGCCTACAGTGAAAAAGGAAAAATCTTCAGATAAAGACTAGATGGAAGCTATCTGAGAAATTGTTTTGTGATGTGTTGATTCATCTCAAAAACATAAACCTTTCTTTGGATTCAGTAGTTTGGAAATACTGTTTTTGTCCATTCTGTGAATGGACATTGGGAACTCATAGAGGCCAATGGTGAAAAATAGATTATACCAGGGTAAAACTAGAAGGAATCTGTCTGAGAAAATGCATTGTGGTGTGTGCATTCATCTCACAGAGTTAAACCTTTCTTTTCATTCATTAGTTTGGAAACACTGTTTATGTAGAATCTGCAAAGGGATATTTCAGAGAGCATTGAGTCCAAGGGTGATAAAGGAAACATCGTCATATAAAAACTAGAAAGAAGCTTTCTGAGTAACTGCTTTGTGATGTGTGCATTCATCTCACAGTGTTAAACCTTTCTTTGGATTCAGTAGTTTGGAAAAACTTTTTTTGACATTCTGTGAATGGACATTTGGGAGCTCATTGAGGTCAATGCCAATAAAGGGAATATCCTTATATTAAAACTAGGAGGAAGCTATCTGAGAAACTGCTTTGTGATATGAGAATTCATTTCACAGAGTTAAACCTTTCTTTTCATCCAGCACTTTGGAAACACTGTTTTGGTAGAATCTGTAAAGTATTATTTCCGAGAGTATTGAAGCCTGTGGTGAAATAGGAAACATCTTCAGATAAAAACTAGAAATAAATGTTCTGAGAAACTGCTTTGTGATGTGTGCATTCTTTGGATTGAGTAGCTTGTAAAGATTGTTTTGTCCATTCTGCAAATGGATATTTGTGAGCTCCTTGAGGACAATGACGAAAAAGCAAATATCCCAGGATTAAAACCAGAAGGCAGCTACCTGAGAAACTGCTTTGGTATGTGTGCATTCATCTCACAGATTTAAACCTTTCTTTTCATACAGCAGTTTCAAAACACTGTTTTTGTAGTATCCACAAATGGATATTTAGGAGAGTATTCAGGCCTATGGTGAAATAGGGAACATTTTCATATAAAAACTAGAAAGAAGATTTTTTAGTAACTGCCTTATGATGTGTGCATTCATCTGACAGAATTAAACCTTTCTTTGGATTCAGCAGTTTTGAAACACTTTTTTTGTCCTCTCAGTGAATGGATATTTGGGATTTCTTTGTGGCCAATGGTGAAAAAGGTAATATCCCAGGATGAAAACTAGAAGAAAGCTACATGAGAAACTGCTATGCGATGTGTGCATTCATCTCACGGAATTAAGCATGCTTTTCATTCAGTAGTTTGGAACACTGTTTTTGTTTAATATGCAATGGGATATTACAGAGATCATTGAGGCCTATGGTGAAAAAGGAAACTTCCTCAGATAAAAACTACAAAGATCTCTGAGAAACAGCTTTGTCATGTCTGCAATCATCTCACAGAGTTAAGCCTTTCTTTGGATTCAGTAATTTGAAAAGAGTGTTTTGAATGGACATTTGGTACTCCATTGAGGCTATTGGTGAAAAAGAGAATATTCCTGTATAAAAACTCGAAGGAAGCTATCTATGAAACTGCTTTGTGATGTGTGCATTCATCTTGCAGAGTTAAAGCTTTCTTTTCATACAGCAGTTTGGAAACTGTTTTTGTAGACTCATCAAAAGGATATTTTACAGCATATTGAGGACTATGTTGAAAGAGGAAATATCTTCAGATATAAACTTGAAAGAATCTTTCTGAATAACTGCCTTGTGTTGTGTGAATTCATCTCACAGAGTTAAACTGTACACTGGATTCAGCAGTTTGGAAAAATGTTTTTGTCCAGTCTGCGAATGGGCATTTTGGAGCTCATTGAGGTGAATGGTGAAAAAGAGAATATCCCTGGATAAAAACTAGAAAGAAGTTATCTCAGAAACCTCTTTGTGATGTGAGCACTGATCTCGCAGAGATAAACCTTTCTTTTCATTCAGTAGTTTGGAAACACTGTTTTTGTAGAATTCACAAAGGGTTATTTCAGAGAGCATTGAGGCTTTTGGTGAAATGGCCTCTTCAGATAAAAACTAGAAAGAAGCTTTCTAAGAAACTGCCTTATGGTGTGTGCAGTCATCTCACAGATTTAAACCTTTCTTTGGATTCAATAATTTGGAAAGGGTGTTTTGAATGGACATTTGGTACTTAATTGAAGCCATTGGTGAAAAACTGAATATCCTTGAATAAAACCTAGGAGGAAGCTATCCGAGAAACTGCTTTGTGATGTGTGCATTCATCTCGCAGAGTTAAAGCTTTCTTTTCATACAGCAGTTTGGAAACAGTGCTTTGTAGAATCTTCAAAGGGATATTTTGGAGTGAATTAAGAACTATGGTGAAAAAGGAAATATCTTCAGATATAAACTGGAAAGAATATTTCTGAGAAACTGCCTTGTGATGCGTGAATTCATCTCACAGAGTTAAACTGTACACTGGATTCAACAGTTTTGAAACACTGTTTTTGTCTACTCAGCGAATGGACATTTGGGAGTTCATTGAGACTGATGTCGAAAAAGGGAATATCCCAGGATAAAAACTAGAAGGAAGCTATCTGACAAACTGCTCTGTGATGTGTGCATTCATCTCACAGAGTTAAACCATGCTTTTTATTCAGCAGCATTCATCTCACAGACTTAAAACTTTCTTCAGATTCAGTACTTTGGAAACACAGTTTATGTCCATTCTGTGAATGGACATTTCAGAGCTCATTGAGGCCAATGGCAAAAAAGTGAATAACCCAGAATAAAAACTTGAAGCAATCTATCTGAGAAACCAGTTTATCATTTGTGCACTCACCTCACATAGTTAAACCATTCTTTTCATTCAGCAATTTGTAAACACTGTTTTTGCCCACTTAGAGAATGGACAATTGATAGCTCCATGAAGCCAATGGCATAAAAGGGAATATCCCAGGATAAAAACTAGAATGAATCTATCTGAGAAACTGCTTTGTGATGTCTGCATTCATCTCAAAGAGTTAAACCATGCTTTCCACTGAGCAGTTTGGAAACACCGTTTCTGTAGGGACTGCAAAGGGATATTATGGAGAGCATTGAGGCCTATGGTGAAAAAGGAAATAACTTCTGATAAAAACTAGAAACAAGCTTTCTGAGAAACTGCTTTGTGATATGTGCATTCATCTCACAGAGTCAAACAGTTCTTTGGATTCAGGAGTTTGGAAACACTGTTTTTGTCCCTGCAGTGAATGGACATTTGAGAACTCATTGGAGGCAATGGCAAAAAAGGAAATGTCCCAGGATTAAAACTAGAAGGAAGCTATCTGAAAAACTGCTATGTGATGTCTGCATTCATCTCACAGAGTTAAATATTGATTTTTATTCTGCAGTTTGGAAACATCGCTTTTGTAGAATGCAAAGGGGTATTTCAGAGAGCATTGTGGCCTTTGTGGAAAAAAGACTCACCTTCAGATAAAAACTAGAAAAGAAGCTTTCTGAGAACTGCTTTGTGATGTGTGCATTCATCTCACAGAGTTAAACCTTTCCTTGGATTAAGTAGTTTGGAAACATTGTCTTTGTCCATTCTGCAAATGGACATTTGGGAGCTCAGTTAGGCCAAAGGAGAAAAAAGGAATATCCCAGGATAAAAACTAGACAGAAACTATCTCTGAAACAGCTATGTGATGTGAGCATTCGTCTCACAGAGTTACACCATTCTTTTCATTCAGCAGATTGGAAACTGCCTTTTTGTAGAATCTGCAAAGGGATATTTGTGAGCTCCTTGAGGCATATGGTGAAAAAGGAAATATCTTCGCATAAAAATTAGACAGAAGCTTTCTGAGAAACTTCTGTGTGATGTGTGCATTTATCTCACAGAGTTGAACTATTCTTTTGATTGAGCAGTTTTGAAACACTGTTTTTGTCCACTGTGCAAATGGACATTTGGGAGCTCATTGACGCCAATGGTGGGAAAGCGAATATCCCTGGATAAAATCTAGAAGGAAGCCATCTGAGAAATCGCATTGTGATGTCTGCATTCACTTCACAGAGTTAAACCATTCTTTTCATTCAGCTGTTGGGAAACACTGTTTTTTGAGAAGCTGCAAAGGGATATTTTGGAGAGCATTGAGGCATATGGTGAAAAAGAAATAATATTCAGATAATAACTAGAAAGAATATTCTGAGAGAGTGATTTGAGATGTGTGCATTCATCTCAAAGAATTAAACCTTTCTTTGGTTTCAGCAATTTGGCAACACTATTTTTGTCCATTCTGCGAATGGCCATTTGGGAGATCCTTGAGGCCAACAGGGAAAGAGTGAATATCACAGGATAAAAACAAGAAGGAAGCTAGCTGAGAAACACTTTGTGATGTGTGCATTCATCTCACACAGTTAAAACTTTCTTTTCATTCAGCAGTTTAGATACACTTTTTTTTTGTAGAGTCTGCAAAGGTATATTTCAGAGAGCTTTGAGGCCTATGGTGAAAAAGGAAACATCTTCAGATAAAACCAAAAGGAAGCTTTCTGAGAAACTGCTTTTTGATGTGTGCATTCATCTCACAGAGTTAAAACTTTCTGTCAATTCAGTAGTTTGGAAACACTGTTTCTGTCCATTCTGCAAATGAATATTTGGGAGCTCATTGAGGTCAATGGTGAAAAAGCGAATATTCCAGGATAA
The DNA here is from genome assembly GCF_000001405.40 of Homo sapiens. Classification (NCBI taxonomy): domain Eukaryota; kingdom Metazoa; phylum Chordata; class Mammalia; order Primates; family Hominidae; genus Homo; species Homo sapiens. The sequence continues at coordinate 39,266,990 of NC_000010.11, read as the reverse complement.
AAATTAGATGGAAATTATCTGAGAATCTGCTAAGGGATGCATGCATTCATCTAGTAGAATTAACTCTTTCTTTCCATTCAGTTGTTTAGAAACACTGTTTTTGTAGAATCTGCAAAGGGGTATTTCAGAGAGCATGAAGCCTATGGTGAAAATGGAAACATCTTCAGATAAAAAATATAAAGATGGTTTCTAAGAAACTGCTTTGTGAGGTGCACATTATCTCAAAGTGTTAAACCTTCCTTTGGATTCATCAGTTTGGAAACAGTATTTTTTGTCCATTCTGCGAATGGACATTGGGGATCTCATTGATGCCAAAAAAGAAAAAGCAAATATCCCAGGATAAAAAGTAGATGGAAGGTATCTGAGAAACTGCTATGTGATGTGTGCATACATCTTACAGAGTTAAAACTTTGCTTTCATTCAGCAGTTTGGGAACACTATTTTTGTAGAATCTGCAAAGGAATATTTCAGAGAGCATTGAATCCTATGGTGAAGTAGGAAACATCTTCAGATAAAAAGCAAAAAGAAGCTTTATGAGAAACTTCTTTGTGATGTATACATTCGTCTCACAGAGTTAAATCTCTGTCAATTCAGCAGTTTGGAAACGCTGTTTTTGTCCATTCTGTGAATGAACATTTGGGTGCCCATTTAGGCCAATGGGGAAAAAGCCAATATCCCAGGATAAAAATTAGACGGAAACTATCTGAGACACTGCTACGTGATGTGTGCATTCATCTTGCAGAGTTAAACCTTCCTTTTCATTCGGCAGTTTGGAAACACTGTTTTTGTAGAATCTGCAAAGTGATATTTCAGAGAGTATTGTGGCCTATGGTGAAATAGGAAACATCTTCAGATAAAAACTAGAAAGAAGCTTTCTGAGAAACTGCTTTGTGGTGTGCACATTTATCTCACAGTGTTAAAACTTCCTTTGGATTTAGCAGTTTGGAAACACTGTTTTTTTTCCATTCTGCAAATGGACATTTGTGAGCTCATAGAGGTCAATAGGGAAAAAGTAAATAACCCACAATAAAAACTAGCTGGAAGCTATCTGAGAAACTTCTATGTGATGTTAGCATTCATCTTTCAGAATTAAACCTTGCTTTTCATTCTACAGTTTGGAACACTCTTTTTTAGAATTCTCAAAGGGATATTTCAGAGAGCATTGAGGCCTATGGTGAAAAAGGAAATATCTTCATATAATAACTATAAAGAAACTTCCTGAAAAACTGCTTTGTGATGTCTGCACTCATCTCAGGGAGTTAAACTTTTTTTGGATTCAGAAGTTTGGAACACTGTTTTTGTCCATTATGCAAATGGACATTTCAGAGCTCATTGAGACCAATGGGTAAAAAGTGAATATCCCAGGATAAAAACTGGAAGGAAGTTATCTGAGAAACTGCTTTGTGATGTGTGCATTCATCTCGCAGAGTTAATCCTTTCTTTTCTTTATATATATATATATTATCTATATAATATATTATATATTATATATTATCTATATAATATATATATATTATCTATATAATATATATACTATATATAATCTATATATTTTATATATATATTATATATATATTTTACACTTAAAGTTCTAGGGTAAATGTGCACAATGTGCAAGTTTATGTATAAATATGCCATGTTGGTGTGCTGCACCCGTTAACTCGTCATTTACATTAGGTATGTCACCTAATGCTATCCCTCCCGCCTCCCTGCACTCCACAAAAGGCCCCGGTGTGTGATGTTCCACTTCCTGTGTCCAAGTGTTCTCATTATTCAATTCCTACCTATGAGTGAGAATATGCAGTGTTTAGTTTTATGTACTTGTGATAGTCTGCTGGGAATGATGGTTTCCAGTTTCATCCATGTCCCTACAAAGGACATGAACTCATCATTTTTTATGGCTGCATAGTATTCCATGGTGTATATGTGCCACATTTTCTTCATCCAGTCTATCATTGTTGGACATTTGGGTTGGTTCCAAGTCTTTGCTATTGTGAATAGTGCCACAGTAAACATATGTGTGCATGTGTCTTTATTGCAGAATGATTTATAAACCTTTGGGTATATACCCAGTAATGGGATTGCTGGGTCAAATGGTATTTCTAGTTCTAGATCCCTGAGGAATAGCCACACTGACTTCCACAATGGTCGAACTAGTTTACAGTCCCACAAACAGTGTAAAAAGTGTTCCTTTTTCTCCACATCCTCTCCAGCACCTGTTGTTTCCTGACTTTTTAATGATCACCATTCTAACTAGTGTGAGAAGGTATCTCATTGTGGCTTTGATTTGCATTTCTCCGATGGTCACTGATGATGAGCAGTTTTTCATGTGTCTGTTGGCTGCATAAATTCTTCTTTTGAGAAGTGTCTTTAATGTCTTCCTCCCACTTGTTGTTGGGTTTCTTTGGTTTATTTTTCTTGTAAATTTGTTTGAGTTCCTTGTAGATTCTCGATATTAGCCCTTTGTCAGATGAGTAGATTGCAAAAATTTTCTCCCATTCTGTAGGTTGCCTGTTCACTTTGATGGTAGTTTCTTTGGCTGTGCAGAAGTTCTTTAGTTCAATTAGATCCCATTTGTCAATTTCAGTTTTTGTTGCTGTTTCTTTTGGTGTTTTAGACATGAAGTCCTTGCCCATGCCTACGTCCTGAATGATATTGCCTACGTTTTCTTCTAGGGTTTTCATGGTTTTAAGTCTAAGATATAAGTCTTCAATCCATCTTGAACTAATTTTTGTATAAGGTGTAAGGAAGGGATCCAGTTTCAGCTTTCTACATATGGCTAGCCAGTTTTCCCAGCACCATTTGTTCAATAGGGAATCCTTTCCCCATTTCTTGTTTTTGTCAGGTTTGTCATAAATCATATAGTTGTTGATGTGTGGTATTATTTTTGAGACTTCTGTTCTGTTCCATTGGTCCATATCTCTGTTTTGGTATCAGTACCATGCTCTTTTGATTACTATAGACTTGTAGTATAGTTTGAAGTTAGGTAGTGTGATGCCTCCAGCTCTGTTCTTTTGGTTTAGGGTTGACTTGGCAATGTGGGCCCTTTTTTGTTCCATATGAACTTTAGAGTAGTTCTTTCCAATTCTGTGAAGAAAGTCATTAGTAGCTTGATGGGGATGGCATTGAATCTATAAATTACCTTGGGCAGTATGACCATTTCACCATTTTCAGTATGATTCTTCCTATCCAAGGGCATGGAATGTTCTTCCACTTGTTTGCATCCTCTTTTATTTCATTGAGCAGTGGTTTGTAGTTCTCCTTGAAGAGGTCCTTCATGTCCCTTGTAATTGGATTCCTAGATATTTTATTCTGTTTGAAGCAATTGTGAATGGGAGTTCACTCATGATTGCGCTCTCTGTTTGTCTGTTATTGGTGTATAAGAATTCTTGTGATTCTCGCACACTGATTGTGATTCTGAGACTTTGCTGAAGTTGCTTATCAGCTTAAGGAGATTTTGAGCAGAGACGATGGGGTTTTCTAGATATACAATCATGTCTTCTGCAAACAGGGGCAATTTGACTTCCTCTTTTCCTAATTAAATACCCTTTATTTCTTTCTACTGCCTAATTGCCCTGGCCAGAGAGTCCAACAGTATGTTGAATAGGAGTGGTGAGAGCAGGCATCCCTGTCTTGTGCCAGTTTTCAAAGGGAATGCTTCCAGTGTTTGCCCATTCAGCATGATATTTACTGTGGGTTTGTCATAGATAGCTCTTACTATTTTTAGAAACGTCCCATCAATACCTAATTTATTGAGAGTTTTTAGCATGAAGCGTAGTTGAATTTTTTCAAAGGCCTTTTCTGCATCTATTGAGGTAAGCATGTGGTTTTTGTCTTTGGTTCTGTTTATATGCTGGATTGCATTTATTGATTTGCATGTGTTGAACCAACCTTGCATCCTAGGAATGAAGCCAACTTGATCATGGTGGATAAGCTTTTTGATGTGCCACTGGATTCATTCTGTCAGTATTTTATTGAGGATTTTTGCATCGATGTTCATCATTAGGGATATTGGTCTAAAATTATCTTTTTTTGTTGTGTCTCTGCCATCCTTTGGTATCAGGATGATGCTGGTCTCATAAAATGAGTTAGGGAGGATTCCTACTTTTTCTATTGATTGGAATAGTTTCAGAAGGAATGGTACCAGATTCTCCTTGTACCTCTGGTAGAATTCAGCTGTGAATCCATGTAGTCTTGGACTTTTTAGGCTGGTAAGCTATTAATTATTGCCTCAGTTTCAGAGCCTGTTATTGGTCTATTCAGAGATTCAACTTCTTCCTGGTTTAGTCTTGGGAGGGTGTGTGTGTCGAGGAACTTATCCATTTCTTCTAGATTTTCTAGTTTATTTGTGTAGAGGTGTTTATAGTACTCTCTGATCATAGTTTATATTTCTGTGGGATCAGTGGTGATATCCCCTTTGTCATTTTTTATTGCATCTATTTGATTCTTCCTCTTTTCTTCTTTATTAGTCTTGCCAGCTGTCTATCAATTTTGCTGATCTTTTCAAAAAACCAGCTCCTGGATTCATTGATTTTTTCAAGGGTTTCTTTTGTCTCTAGCTCCTTCAGTTCTGTGCTGATTTTAGTTATTTCTTGCCTTCTGCTAGCTTTTGAGTGTTTTTGCTCTTGCTTCTGTAGTTCTTTTAATTGTGATGTCAGGGTGTCAATTTTAGATCTTTCTTGCTTTCTCTAGTGGACATTTAGTCCTATAAATTTCCCTCTACACACAGCTGTAAATGTGTCCCAGAGATTCTAGTGTGCTGTGTCGTTGGTTTCAAAGAATGTCTATTTCTGCCTTCATTTCGTTATGTACTTAGTAGTCATTTAGGAGCAGGTTGTTCAGTTTCCGTGTAGTTGAGCAGTTTTGAGTGAGTTTCTTAATCCTGAGTTCTAGTTTGATTGCACTGTGGTCTGACAGACTGTTTGTTATCATTTCTGTTCTTTTACATTTGCTGAGGAGTGCTTTACTTCAACTATGTGGTCAATTTTGGAATAAGTGCAGTTTGGTGTTGAGAAGAATGTATGCTCTGTTGATTTGGGGTGGAGAGTTCTGTAGATATCTATTAGGTCTGCTTGGTGCAGAGTTGACTTCAATTCCTGGATATCCTTGTTCACTTTCTGTCTCGTTGATCTGTCTAATATTGACAGTGGGGTGCTAAGTTCTCCCATTATTATTGTGTGGGAGCCTAAGTCTCTTTGTAAGTCTCCAAGAACTTGCTTTATGAATCTGGGTGCTCCTGTATTGGGTGCATATATATTTAGAATAGTTAGCTCTTCTTGTTGAATTGATCCTTTTACCATTGTGTAATGGTCTTCTTTGTCTCTTTTGATCTTTGTTGGTTTAAAGTCCGTTTTATCAGAGACTAGGATTGCAACCCCTGCCTTTTTTTGTTTTCCATTTGCTTGATAGATCTTCCTCCATCCCTTTATTTGGAGCCTATGGGTGTCTCTGTAGGTGAGATATGTTTCCTGAATACAACACACTGATGGTTCTTGACTGTTATCCAATTTGCCAGTCTGTGTCTTTTAATTGGAGCATTGAGCCCATTTACTTTTAAGGTTAATATTGTTATGTGTGAATTTGAAACTGTCATTATGATGTTAGTTGGTTATTTTGCTCGTTAGTTGATGCAGTTTCTTCCTAGCCTTGACGATCTTTACAATTTGGCATGTTTTTGCAGTGGCCGATACCAGTTGTTCCTTATCATGTCTAGTGCTTCCCTCAGGAGCTCTTTTGGGGCAGGCCTGGTGTTGACAAAATCTCTCAGCATTTGCTTGTCTGTAAAGTATATTATTTCTCCTTCACTTATGATGCTTAGTTTGGTTGGATATGAAATTCTGCTTTGAAAATTCTTTTCTTTAACAATGTTGAATATTGGCCCCCACACTCTTATGACATGTAGAATTTCTGCCACGAAATGAGCTGTTAGTCTGATGGTCTTCCCTTTGTGAGTAACCCGACATTTCTCGCTGGTTGCCCTTAACATTTTTTCCTTCATTTCAACTTTGGTGAATCTGACAATTATGTATTGGAGTTGCTCTTCTCGAGGAGTATCTTTGTGCTATTCTCTGTATTTCCTGAATTTGAATATGGCCTACCTTGCTAGGTTGGGGTAGTTCTCCTGGATAATATACTGCAGAGTGTTTTCCAACTTGGTTCCATTCTCCCCATCACTTTCAGGTACACCAATCAGATGTAGATTTGGTCTTTTCACATAGTCCCATATTTCTTGGAGGCTTTGTTCATTTCTCTTTCCTCTTTTTTCTCTAAACTACTCTTCTCACTTCATTTCATTCATTTGATCTTCAATCACTGATACCCTTTCTTCCAGTTGATCGAATCAGCTACTGAAGCTTGTGCATTCATCACATAGTTCTCTTGCCATGGTTTTCAGCTCCATCAGGTCCTTTAAGGACTTCTCTGCATTGGTTATTCTAGTTAGCCAGTCGTCTAATATTTTTCAAGGTTTTCAACTTCTTTGGGATGGGTTCGAATTTCATCCTTTAGTTTGGAGAAGTTTGATTGTCTAAAGCCTTCTTATCTCAGCTCATCAAAGTCATCCTCAATCCAGCTTTGTTCCATTGCTGGTGAGGAGCTGTGTTCCTTTGGGGGAGGAGAGGTGCTCTGACTTTTAGAATTTTCAGTTTTTCTGCTCTGTTTTTTCCCTATCTTTGTGGTTTTATCTACATTTTGTCTTTGATGATGGTGACGTACAGATGGGGTTTTGGTGTGGATGTCCTTTCTGTTTGTTTGTTTTCCTTCTAGCTGTCAGGATCCTCAGTTGCATGCTTGTTGGAGTTTGCTGGAGGTCCACTCCAGACCCTGTTTGCCTGGGTATCAGCAACAGAGGCTGAAAAACAGCGAATATTGCTGAACAGTGAATTTGCTGCCTGATCTTTCCTCTGGAAGTTTCATCTCAGAGGGCTACCGGGCCATGTGAGAAGTCTGTCTTCCCTTACTGAGGGGTGCCTTCCAGTTAGGCTACTCAGGGGTCAGGGACCCACTTGAGGAGGCAGTCTGTCTGTTCTCAGATTTCAAACTCCATGCTGGGAGAACCACTACTCTCTTCAAAGCTGTCAGACAGGGACATTTAAGTCTGCAGAGGGTTCTGCTGCCTTTTGTTTGGCTATGCCCTGTCCCCAGAAGTGGAGTCCAAAGAGGCAGGCAGGTCTCCTTGAGCTGCGGTGGGCTCCACCCAGTTGTAGCTTCCTGGCCCCTTTGTGTATCTACTCAAGCATCAGCAATGGTGGGCGCCCCTCCTGCAGGCTCACTGCTGTCTTGCAGTTCGATCTCAGACTGCTGTGCTAGCAATGAGTGAGGCCCTGTGGGTGTGGGACCCTCAGAGCTGGGCATGGGATATAACGTCCTCGTGTGCCATTTGCTAAGACCATTGGAAAAGCACAGTATTATGGTTGGAATGACCTGATTTTCCAGGTGATTTTGTCACAGCTTTGCTTGGCTAGAAAAGTGAATTCCCTGACCCCTTGCACTTCCCACATGAAGTGATGCCTCGCCCTGCTTCAGCTCATGCTCAGTGCACTGCACCCACTCTCCTGCACCCACTGCCTGATTAGCACCACTGAGATGAACCCAGTACCTCAGTTCGAAATGCAGAAATCACCCACTTTCTGCATCGCTCACACTGGGAGCTGTATACTGCAGCTGTTCTTATTTGGTGATCTTGAAACTGCCTGCAAATCGTTCTTTTCATTCAGCAGTTGGGAATAACATTTTTATAGAGTCTGCAAAGGGATATTTTGGAGTGCATAGAGGACTATGGTGAAAAAGGAAACATTTTCAGACAAAAACTAGAAATAAGTTTTCTGAAAAACTGCTTTGGGGTGTCTGTATTCATCTCACAGAGATAAACCATTCTTTGAACTCAGCAGTTTGCATAAATTGTTTTTGTCCATACTGTGAATGGACATTTGGAAACTCATTGAGGCCAATGGCGAAAAAGTGAATTACCCAAGGATAAAAAATAAATGGAAGTTATCTGAGAAACTGCTTTAGTATGTGTGCATTCACCTTAGATTTTTAAAACTTTATTTTCATTCATCAGTTTGGAAACATTGTTTTTGTAGAATCTGCAAAGGGATATTTTGGAGGGGACTGGGGCTATGGTGAAAAAGGAAACAACTTCAGATAAAAACTAGAAAGAAGCTTTCTGAGAAACTGCTGGATGATGTGTGCATTCACCTGACAGAGCGAAACCTTTCTTTTGATTCAGTAGTTTGGAAAGACAGTTTTTTTCCATTCTGCAAATGGACATTTGGGAGCTCATTGAGGCCAATGGCAAAAAAGTGAATATCCCAGGATGAAAACTAGATGGAAGCTATCTGAGAAACTGCTATGTGATGTTTGCATTAATTTCACAGAGATAAAACTTTCTTTTCATTCAGCAGTTTGGAAACACTGTTATTGTAGAATCTGCAAGGGGATATTTTGGAGAGCATTGAGGACTATGATGAAAAAGGAAAAAATTACAGAAAAAAAAAGAAAGAAGTTTTCTGAGAAACTGCTTTGTGATGTCTGCATTCGTCTCACATACTTAAACCTTTCTTTGGATTCAGTAGTTTGGAAACACGTTTTTGTCCATTCTGCAACTGGACATTTGGGAACTCATTGAGGTTAAAGGCAAAAAAGTGAATATCCCAGGGTAAAAACTAGAAGGAAGCTATCTGAGAAATTGCTTTGTGATGTGTGCACTCATCTCACAAAGTTCAACCTTTCTTTTCATTCAGCAGTTTGGATATACAGTTTTTTTTTAGTATCTCCAAAGGGATATTTTGGACAGCATTGAAGCCTATGGTAAAAAGGAAACATCTTTAGATAAAAACTAGAAAGAAGCCTTCTGAGAAACTGCTTTGTGATGTGTGCATTCATCTCACAGAATTAGCCATTTCTTTGAATTCAGTTGTTTGGAAAGAGTGTTTTTGTCCATTCTGTGAATGGACATTTTTGAGTTCACTATGGGTAAAGGCAAAAAATCAAATATCCCAGGACAAAATTTAGAAGGAAGCTATCTGATAAACTGCTTTGTGGTGTGTGCATTCTCCTCACAGAGTTAAAGGTTTTTTTTTTTTCATACAACAGTTTGGAAGCAGTGTTTTTGTAGAAGCAGCAAAGTAATATTTTGGAGAGCATTGAGGCCTATGGTGAAAAAGGAAATATCTTCAGATAAAAACTGGAAAAAGCTTTCTGAGAAACTGTGTGCATCCATCTTACAGAGTTAAACTTTTCTTTGGGTTCAGTAATTTGGAAACACTGCTTTTATCCATTCTTCGAATGGACATTTGGGAGCTGATTGAGGCAAAAGACAGAAAAGGAAATATCCAAGGATGAAAACTAGAAGGAAGCTATCTGAGAAACTGCTACCTGATGCATGAATTCATCTCACAGATTTAAACCTTTCTTTCTTTCAGCAGTTTGGAAACACTGTTCTTTTAGAATCTGCAAAGGGATACTTCGAATAGCATTGGGGCCTGTTGTGAGAAAGGAAATGTCTTCAGATAAAAATAGAAAGAATGTTTTAGAGAAACTGCTTTGTGATGAGTGCATTCATCTCACAGAGTTAAACCTTTCTTTGATTTCTCAGTTTGGAAAGTGTTTTTGTCCATTCTGTGAATGGACATTTAGGAGCTCATTGAACCCAATGGTGAAAACGTGATTATCCCATGATAAAACTATAAGGAGGCTGTCTGAGAAAGTGCTTTGCAATGTGTGCATTCATCTCTCAGAGGTAAACCTTTATTTTCATTCAGCAATTTGGAAACACTGTTTTTGTAGAAAGTGCAAAGGTGTATTTCAGAGAGAACTGAGGCCTATGGTGAAATAGGAAACATCTTCAGATAAAAACTAGAAAGAAGGTTCCTGAGAAACTGCTTTGTTATATGGACATTCATCTCACAGAACTAAAACTTTTTTTGGATTCAAGAGTTTGGAAAGAGGATTTTTTTTCATTTGGCAAATGGACATTTGGGAGCTCATTGAGGTCAATGGCAAAAAAGCAAATATCCAAGGACAAAAACTAGATGGAAGGAATCTGAGAAACTGCAATGTGATGTGTGCATTCATCTCACAGAGTTAAACCTTTCGTTTCATTCAGCAGTTTGGAAACACTCTTTTTGTAATATCTCCAAAGGGATATTTCAGATAGCATTTAGGCCTAAGGTGAAATGGAAACATATTCAGATAAAAAACTTAAAGAAATTTTCCTAGAAACTACTTTGTGATGTGAGCATTAATCTCAGAGTTAAAACTTTCTTTGGGTTTAGCAGTTTGGAAACACTGTTTTTGTCCATTCTGTGAAAGGCCATTTGATGACTCATTGTGGCCAATGGGGAAAACATGGATATCCCAGTATAAAAAGTAGAAGGAAGCTATCTTAGAAATTGCTATGTGATGGGTGAATTCATTTTCCAGAATTAAAACTTTCATTTCTTTCAGCAATTTGGAAACACTGTTTTTGTAGAATCTGCAAAGGTTTATTTCAGAGAAAATTGAGGACTATGGGCAAAAGGAAACATCTTCAGATAAAAACTAGAATGAAGCCTTCTGAGAAAGTGGTTTTTGATGTATGCATTCATCTGACAGTGTTAAAATATTCTTTGGATACAACAGTTTGGAAAAACTCCTTTTATCCGTTCTGCTACTCGGCATTTGAGGGCTCATTGAGGTCAATGGAGAAAAAGTGAATATCCCAGGATAAAAACTACAAGGAATCTATCTGAGAAACTGCTTTGTCATGTGTGCATTCAACTCACTCACAGAATTATACATTTCTTTTCATTCAGTAGTTGGAAACACTGTGTTTGTAGAATCTCCAAAGGGATATTTCAGAGAGCATTGAGGCCTAGGGTGAAAAAGGAAATATCTTCAGATAAAAACTAGAAGGAAGCTTTCTGGGAAACCGTTTTTTGATGTGTGCATTCATCTCACAGAGATAAACATTTCTTTGGATTCAGTAGTTTGGAAACACTGTTTTTGTCCATTCTTGGAATGGATATTTGGGATCTCTTTGAGGCCAATGCCAAAAAGCAAATATCCCAGGATAAAAACTAGAAGGAAGCTTTCTGAGAAACTGCTCTGTGATGTGTGCATTAATCTCACAGAGTTAAACCTCCCTTTTCATTCAGCAGTTTGGAGACACTGTTTTTGTTGAATCTGAAAAGGGATATTTCAGAGAGCATTGAGGCCTATGGTGCAAAAGTAAACATCTTCAGATAAAAACTAGAAAGAAGCTTTCTGAGAAACTGCTTTCTCATGTGTGCATTCAACTCAGAGAGTTAGAAGTTTCTTTGGATTTTGCAGTTTGGAAACATTGCTTTTGTAGAATCTGCAAAGGGATTTTTCAGAGAGCATTGAGGTCTATGCTGGAAAAGTAAATATCTTCAAATAAAAACTAGAAAGATGCTTTGAGTTACTCCTTTAAGATGTGTACATTCATCTCACAGAGTTAAAGCTTTCTATGGATTCTGCAGTTTGGAAACATTGTTTTTGTCCATTCTGCAAATGGACATTTTGGAGCTCATTGAAGCCAACAGGGAATTAGCGAATATCCTAGGATAAAAGCAAGACGGAAGCTATATGAGAGACTGCTATGTGATGTCAGCATTCATCTCATAGAGTTAAATATATCTTTGGATTCAGCCGTTTGGAAACACTGTTTTCTTCCATTCTGCAAATGGTCATTTCTGATCTCATTTAGGCCGATGGGGAATTAGCAAATATCCCTGGAAAAAAGTAGATGGAAGCTATCTGAGAATCTTCTATGTGATTTGTACATTCATCTCACAGATTTAAACTTTTCTGTTCATTCAACAGTTTGTAAACAGTATTGTGTAGAAACTGTAAAGGGATATTTTGGAGAGCATTGTGGCCTGTGGTGAAAAAAGATACATCTTCAGATAAAATAGAAAGAAGCATTCTGAGAAGGTGCTTTGTGATGTGTCCATTCATCTCACAGAGTTAAACCTTTCTTTGGATTCAGCAGTTTGGAAAACTATTTTTGTTGAATCTGCAAAGGGATATTTCAGAGACCATTGCATCCTATGCTGGAAAAGGAAACACTTACAGAAAATAACTAGAAAGAAATTTCCTGAGTAAATGCTTTGTGATGCATGCATTCATCTCACAGACTTAAAACTTTCTTTGGATTCAGTAGTTTGGAAACACTGTTTTTGTTCCTTCTGGAA
>NC_000010.11:39239118-39254773 GCF_000001405.40 Homo sapiens | reverse complement strand
CTTTGCACTGTGTATATTCATCTGACAGAGTTAAACCTTTCTTTAGATTCAGGAGTTTGGAAACACTATTTTTTCCATTCTGTGAATGGACATTTGGGAGCTCATTGAGGCCAATGGCAAAAAAGGGAATATCCCAGGATATACACTAGAAGGAATCTATCTGAGAAAGGGCTATGTGATATGTGCATTCATCTCTCAGAGTCAAACCTTACTTTTCATTCAGTTGTTTCAAAACACTCTTTTTGTAGAATCTGCAACAGGATATTTTGGAGAGCATGGAGGCCTATGTTGGAAAAGAAAACATATTCATCTAAAAATTAGAAAGAAACTTTCTGAGAAACTGCTTTTTGATGTGTGCATTCATCTCAAAGAGTTAAACCTTTCTTTGGATTCTGCAGTTTGGAAACATGGTTTTTGTAGAATCGGTAAAGGCATATTTCAGAGAGCTTTGAGGCATATGCTGGAAGAGGAAACGTCTTCAGATAAAAAGTATAAAGAACCTTTCTGAGAAACTGCTTTGTAATGTGTGCATTCATCTCACTGAGTTAAACCTTTATTTGGATTCAGCATTTTGGAAATACTGTTTTTGTCCATTCTGTGAATGGGAGTTTGGGAGTTCATTGAGCCTAACGGTGAAAAATCGAATATCCCAGGATAAATACTAGAAGGAAGCTATCTGAGAAATCGCTTTGTGATGTGTGCATTGATCTCGAAGAGTTAAAACTTACTTTTCATACAGCATTTTGGAAACAGTGTTTTTGTAGGATCTGCAAAGGGATATTTTGGAGAGCATTGAGGCCTATGGTGAAAAAGGAAACATCTTCAGATAAAAAGTAGAAAGAAGCTTTCTGAGAAACTGCTTTGTGATGTGTCCATTCATCTCACAGAGATAAATTTTTCTTTTGACTCAGTAGTTTGGAAACAATGTTTTTGTCCATGCTGCTAATGGACATTTGGGAGCTTATTGAGGCCAATGGAGAAAAAAAGAATTTCCCTGGATAAAAAGTAGACAGAGGCTTTCTGAGAAACTGCCATGTGATGTGTGCATTCATCTCACAGATTTAAACATTCTTTATCATTCAACAGTTTGGAAACAGTGTCTTTGTAGAAACTGCAAAGGGACATTTCTTAGAGCATTGAGGCCTATGGTGAAAAAGGAAACATCTTCAGATAAAAGCTAGAAGGAAGCTTTCAGAGAAACTGCTTTGTGATGTGTGCATTCATCTCAGAGAGTTAAACGTTACTTTGGATTCAACACTTTGGAAACACTGTTCTTGTCCATTCTGCATACAGCCATTTGGGAGCTCATTTATGCCAATGGTGAAAAAGGGATATCCCAGGATAACAAGTAGATGGAAAATATCTGTGTAACTGCTATGTGATGTGTGCATTCATCTCACACAGTTAAATCTTTCTTTTCTTTCAGTATTTTGGAAACTTAGTTTTTATTGAATCTGCATAGGGATATTTGGGAGATCATTGAGGACTACAATGAAAAAGGAAATATCTTAAGATAAAAACCAGAAATGAGCTTTCCGAGAAACTGCTTTGCAATGTGTGCATTTACCTCACAGATTTGAAACTTTCTTTGCATTGAGTAGTTTGGAAACACTGTTTTTGTCCATTCTATGAATGGATATTTGGGAGCTCATTGAGGCCATGGCAAAAAAGTGAAAATCCCGGGATTAAAACTAGAAGGAAGTTATCTGAGAAAGCACTTTGCAATGTGAGCATTCATTTCACAGAGATAAACTTTTTATTTCATTCAGCAGTTTGGAAAGACCATTTTTGTAGAATATGCAAAGGGTTATTTCGGAGAGTATTGAGGTCTATGGTGAAATAGGAAACATCTTCAGATGAAAACTAGACAGAAGCTTTCTGAGAAGCTGCTTTGTGATGTGTGCATTCAGCTCAGAGAGTTAAATCTTTCTATGGATTCAGCAGTTTTGAAACACTGTTTTTGTCCACTTAGCAAAAGGATGTTTGGGAACTCATTGAGGCCAATTGAGAAAAATGGAATATCCCTGAATAAAAACTACAAGGAAGCTATCTGAGAAACTGCTTTGTGTTGTGGGCATTCATCTCACAAATTTAAACCATGCTTTTCATTCAGTAATTTGGAAACCCTTTTTTTATTGAATCTGGAAATGGATATTTCTGTGGTATTGAGGCCTATGGTGAAAAAGGATTCATCTTCAGTTAAAATCTAAAAAGAAACTTTCTGAGAAACTGCTTTGTGATGTGTGCATTCATCTCACAGAGTTAAAACTTTCTTTGAATTCAGTAGTGTTGAAAGAGTGCTTTTGTCCATTTTGCTAATGGACATTTGAGGGCTCAGTGAGGCCAGTGACAAAAAATAGAATATCCCAGGATAAAAAGTACACTTAAGCTATTTGAGAATCTGCTGTGGGATGTGTGCATACCTCTCACAGAGTTAAACCTTTCTTTTCATTCAGCAGATTGGAAAAACTGTTTTTGTGTAATCTGCAAAGGGATATTTCAGAGCATTGAGGCCTATCTTAAAAAAGGAATCATCTCAGATAAAACTAGAAAGAAGCGTTCTGAGAAACTGCTTTGAGATGTGTGCATGCATGGCACAGAGATAAACTTTTCTTTGGATTCATCTGTTTGGAAACACTGTTTGTGTCCATTTTGTGAACAGACATTTGGGACCTCATTGGGGCCAATGGCAAAAAAATGAATATCCCAGAATAAAAACTAGATGAAGCCTATCTCAGAAACCTATTTTGATGTGTGCATTCAACACGAAGAGTTTAACATATCTATCTTCTTATACAGCATTTTGGAAAAACTGTTTTGAAGAATCTGGAAAGGTTTCTTTCAGAGAGAAATGAGGCCTTCATTGAAAAAGGAAACATCTTCAGATAAAAACTAGACCCCTCAGAAATAATGCCCCATATCTACAACTATCTGATCTTTGACAAACCTGACAAAAACAAGAAATGGGGGAAGGATTCCCTATTTAATAAATGGTGCTGGGAAAACTGGCTAGCCATATGTAGAAAGCTGAAACTGGATCCATTCCTTACACCTTATACAAAAATTAATTCAAGATGGACTAAAGACTTACATGTTAGACTTAAAGCCATAAAAACCCTAGAAGAAAACCTAGGCAATACCATTCAGGACATAGGCATGGACAAGGACTTCATTTCTAAAACACCAAAAGCAATGGAAACAAAAGACAAAATTAACAAATGGGATCTAATTAAACTAAAGAGCTTCTGCACAGCAAAAGAAACTACCATCAGAGTGAACAGGCAACCTACAAAATGGGAGAAAATTTTTACAACCTATTCATCTCACAGAGGGCTAATATCCAGAATCTACAATGAACTCAAACAAATTTACAAGAAAAAACAAACAACCCCATCAAAAAGTGGGCAAAGGATATGAACAGACACTTCTCAAAAGAAGACATTCATGCAGCCAAAAAACACATGAAAAAATGTTCATCATCACTGGCCATCAGAGAAATGCAAATCAAAACTACAATGAGATGCCATGTCTCACCACTTAGAATGGTGATCATTAAAAATCAGGAAACAACAGGTACTGGAGAGGATGTGGAGAAATAGGAACACTTTTACACTGTTGGTGGGAATGTAAACTAGTTCAACCATTGTGGAAGTCGGTGTGGTGATTCCTCAGGGAACTAGAACTAGAAATACCGTTTGACTCAGCAATCCCACTATTGGGTATATACCCAAAGGATTATAAATCATGCTGCTATAAAGACACATGCACACGTATGTTTATTGCAACACTATTCACAATAGCAAAGACTTGGAACCAACCCAAATGTCCAACAATGATAGACTGGATTAAGAAAATGTGGCACATATACACCATGGAATACTATGCAGCCATAAAAAAGGATGAGTACATGTCCTTTGTAGGGACATGGATGAAGCTGGAAACCATCATTCTCAGCAAACTATCGCAAGGACAAAAAACCAAACGCCACATGTTCTCACTCACAGGTGGGAGTTGAACAATGAGAACACATGGACACAGGAAGGGGAACATCACACTCTGGGGACTGTTGTGGAGTGGGAAGAGGGGGAGGGCTATCATTAGGAGATATACCTAATGTTAAATGACGAGTTAATGGGTGCTGCACACCAGCATGGTACGTGTATACATAAGTAACAAACATGCATGTTGTGCACATGTACCCTAAAACTTAAAGTATAATTTAAAAAAAACTAGAAAGAATCTTTCTGAGAACCTGGTTTGACAGGTGGGCATTCACCTCACAGAGTCAAACCTTTCTTTGGATTCTGTAATTTGGAAAGAGTGTTTTTGTCCATTCTGTGAATGGATATTTCAGAGCTCTTTGAGGTCAATGGCAAAAAAAGCCAACATCACAGAATAAAAACCAGAAGGAAWCTATCTGAGAAACGGCTTTGTGATGTGAGCATTCATTTCACAGGGTTAAAGCTTTCTTTTTGTACAGCAGTTTGGAAGCAGTGTTTCGAAGAATCTGCAAAGGGATATTTCGGAGAGCATTGAGGCCTATGGTGAAAAAGGAAACATCATCAGTTAAAAACTAGAAAGAAGCTTTCTGAGAAACTGCCTTGTGATTTGTGCATTCATCTCACAGAGTGAAACCTTTCTTTGGATTCAGCAGTTCGGAAAACTTGTTTTTTGTCCATTCTGCAAATGGATATTTGGGAGCTCATTGAGGCCAATGGCAAAAAAGGGAATACCCCAGGATTCAAACAGAAAAACTGCTTTGTGATGTGAACATTCATTTCACAGAGTTAAACCTTTCTTTGGATTCATTAATTTGGAAAGAGTGTCTTTGTCCATTCTGTGACTGGACATTTTGTACTTCTTTGAGTGCAATGGCGAAAAAGGTAATATCCTAGAACAAAAATCAGAAAGATGATATCTGAGAAATCGCTTTGTGATGTGAGCATTAATCTCACAGAGTTAAAACTTTCTTTTCATACAGCAGTGTGGAAACAGTGTTTTGTAGAATCTGTAAGGGGACGTTTCAGAGAGCATTGAGGCCTATAGTAAGGAAACATCTTCAGAGAAAAACTAGAAAGAAGCTTTCTGAGAAAGTGATTTGTGAAGTGTGCATTCATCTCACAGAGTGAAACCTTTCTTTGCATTCAGTAATTTAGAAAAACTGTTTTTGTCCTCTCTGCAAATGGACATTTCGTACTTTGTTGAGGCCAATGATGTAGAAGCTAATATCCTAGAATAAAAACTAGAAAGAAGCTATATGATAAATTGCTTTGCAATGTGTGCATTCATCTCACAGAGTTAAAGATTTCTTGTCATACAGCAGTATGGAAACAGTGTTTTCTAGAATTGGCAAAGGGATATTTCAGATATCATTGTCTCCTATGGTGAAAAACGAGACATCTTGATAAAAACTAGAAAGAAGCTTTCTGAGAAACAGCGTTGTGATGTATGCATTCATCTCCCAGAGGTAAGCCTTTAATTGGATTCAAGAGTTTTGAAAAACTGTCTTAGCCCAGGGATATTCCCTGGATATTTAGTCCTGGAATATTCCTATTTTCACAGTGAGTCTCAAAGCACCCCAAAATGTCTATTCACTGAGTTAACAAACACTGTGTTTCAAAGCTGCTGAATCCAAAGAAAGATTTAACTCTGTGAGATGAATGCACACATCACAAAGCAGTTTCTCAGAAAGCTTTCTAGTTTTTATCTGAAGATGTTTCCTATTCCACCATAGGCCTCAATGCTCTTGAAGTATCCCTTTGCATATTCTATGAAAACAGTGTTTCCAAACTGCTGAATGAAAAGGAAGGTTTAACTCTGTGAGATGAATGTGCACATTACAAAGTGGTTTCTAAGATAGCTGCCTTCTGGTTTTTATAATGGGTTATTCCCATTTTCGCCTTTGGCCTCAGAGAGCCCCCAAATGTCCTTTCACTGAATGGACAAAAACAGTGTTGGAAAACTGCTGAATACAAAGAAGGTTTAACTCTATGAGATGAATGCACATGACACAAAGCAGTTTCTCAGAAATATTTCTAGTTTTCATATGGCGATGTTTCCTATTTCACTGTAGGCCTCAATACTCTGCGAAATAACCCCTTGCAGATTTTACAAAAACAGTGTTTCCAAACTGTTGATGAAAAGAAAGGTTTATCTCTGTGAGATGAATGCTTTCATCACAATGCGGTTCCTCAGATAGCTTCCTTCTAGTTTTAATCCTGGGATATTCCCTTTATTGCCATTTGTCCCAATTAGCTCCCAAATGTCCATTTGCAGAATTGACAAAAACAWATTTTCCAAGCTGCTGAATCCAAAGAAAAGTTTGCCTCTGTGAGATGAACTCAAACATCACAAGGCAGTTTCTCAGAAAGTTTGTTTGTACTTTTTATCTGAAGATATTTCCTTTTTTACCGTAGGCCTCAATGCTCTCCAAAGTATCCCTTCACAGATTCTACAAAACACCGTCTCCAAACTGCTGTATGAAAAGAAAGCTTTAAATCTGCTAGGTGAATGCACACATCACAAAGCAGTTTCTCAGATAGCTTCCTTCTAGTTTTCATTCTAGGACATCAGTTTTTTCGCCTTTGGCATCAGCAAAGAACAAAATGTCCTTTCACAGAATGGACAAAAACAGTCTTTCCAAATTACTGAATTCAAATAAATGTTTAACATTGTGAGATGAATGCTTACATCACAAAGCAGTTTCTCAGAGAACTTCTTTCTACTTTTTATCTGAAGATGTTTCCTTTTTTATGATAGGCCTCGATGCTCTTCTAAATATCACTTTGCAGCTTCAGCAAAAACAGTGTTTCCAAACTACTGTATGAAAATCGTGTTTTAAATCTGTGAGATGAATGAACACCTCACAAAGCTCTTTCTCAAGTACCTTTCTTCTAGTTTTTATCATCTGTTATTCCCTTTTTTGCCATTGGCCTCAATGAGCTGCAAAATGTCCATTCGATCAGTGGACAAAAACAGTGTTTCAAAACTGCTGAGTAAAAGCAAAGGTTTAAATCTGCGAGATGAATGCACACATTACAAAGCTGTTTCTAAGAAATTTTCTTTCTAGTTTTTATCCAAAGATGTTTCTTATTTCACCATAGGCATCGGTACTCTCTGAAATAACCCTTTGCAGATTCTACAAAAACAGTGATTCCTAACTGCTGAATGAAATGGAAGATTTAACTCTGCGAAATAAATATTTACATCATAAAGAAGTTTCTCGGATAGCAGCCTTCTAGTTTTAATCCTGGGATATTCCCTTTTTTGCCATTGGCCTCAACGAGCTCCAAAGTCCATTCACGGAATGGACAAAAATAGATTTTCCAAACTGCTGAATCCAAAGAAAGGTTTAATTCTGTGGGATGAGTGCACACGTCACAAGGAAGTTTCTCAGAAAGCTTCTTTCTGGTTTTTAACTGAAGATATTTCCTTTTTCACCATAAGCCTCAATGCTCTCCAAAATATACATTTGCACATTCTTCAAAAACACTGTTTCTAAACAGCTGAATGAACATAATGGTTTAACATTGTGAAATGGATGCTCACATCACAAAGTTGTTTCTCAGCTACATTTCTTCTAGTTTTTATTCAGGGATATTCACTTTTTCACAATTGGCCCCAAAAGGCTCCAAAGTGTCCATTCGCAGAATGGACAAAAACTTTGTCTCCAAACTATTGAATCCAAAGAAAGATTTAAGTCTGTGAGATGAATGCACACATCACAAAACATTTTCTCAGAAAGTTTCTTTCTAGTTTTTCTCTGAAGATGTTTCCTTTTTTACCATAGGCCTCAGTGCTCTCTGAAATATCCCTTTGCAGATTCTACAAAAACAGTCTTTCCAAATTGCTGAATGAAAAGAATGATTTAGCTCTGTGAGATGAATGAACATACCACAAAGCCGTTTCTTGGATATGTTCCTTCTGGTATTTATCCTGGGGTATTCCCATTTTCACAATTGACCTCAAACTGCACCCAAATGTCCATTTGCTGAGTTGATAAACAACGTGTTTCAAACTGCTGAATGCAAAGAAACATTTACCTCTGTGAGATGGACACATCACAAAGCAGTTTCTCAGAAAACTGCTTTCTCATTTTTCTCTGGAGATGTTTCCTATTTCACCACAGGCCTCAATGCTCTCTGAATTATCCCTTTGTGATTCCACAAAAACAGTGTTTCCAAACTACATGTTGAAATGAAAGGTTTAACCCTATGAGATGAGTGCACACATCACAAGGCAGTTTCTCAGAAAGTTTCTTTCCAGTTTTTATCTGCAGATGTTTCCTTTTCACAATGGGCCTCAATGTTCTCCAAAATATCCCTTTGCAGAATCTACAAAACACAGTTTGCCAACTGCTGTACAAAAATAAAGCTTTGATCTGCGATATGAATACGCACATCACAAATCAGTTTTTCAGATAGCTTCCTTCTAGTTTTTATTCTAGCATATTAGCTTTCTTGCCATTGGCCTCAACGAAGTACAAAATATCCATTCGCAGAATGGAAAAAAACACTCTTTGCAAGTTAGTGAATCCAGAGAAAGGCTTAACTCTGTGAGATGAATGCACTCATCACAAAGCAGTTTCTCAGAGAGCCTCTTTCTTGTTCTTATCTGAAGAGGTTTCCTTTATTACCATAGGCCTCAAAGCACTCTGAAATATCCCTTTCCAGATTCCACAAAAACAGAGTTCTCAAGCTGCTGTATGGAAAGCGTGTTTTAACACTATGAGATGAATGCACATATCACAAAGTGATTTCTCAGATAGCTTCCTTCTAGTTTTTCATCCTGGGATATTCCCTTTTTTGCCTTTGGCCTCAATTGGATCCCAAATGTCCATTCACTGAGTGGACAAAAACAGTGTTTCAAAACTGCTGAATGCAAAGAAAAGTTTATCTCTGTGAGATGAATGCACACATCACAAGGCAGTATCTCAGAAAGCTTCTTTCTAGTTTTTCATGAAGATGGTTCCTTTTTTATCATAGGACTCATGCTCTCCGAAATAACCGTTTGCAGATTCTACAAAAACAATGATTTCTAACTGCTCAATGAAAAGAAAGTTTTAAATCTGTGAAATGAATGCTCACATCACAAAGCAGTTTCTCAGACAGCTGCCTTCTAGTTTTAATCCTGGGATATTCCCTTTTCTGTCAGTGAACTGAATGAGCTCCAAAATTTCCATTCACAGAATGGACAAAAACAGATTTTCCAAACTGCTGAATCAAAAGAAATGATTAAATTTGTGTGATGAATGCAGACTTCACAAGGCCATTTATCTGAAAGTTTCTCCCTAATTTTTAACTGAAGATATTTCCTTTTTCACCATAGACCTCAATGTTCTCTGAACTATACATTTGCAGATTCTACAGAATCACTATTTCCGAAGAGCTGAATGAAAATAATGGTTTAACTCTGTGAAATGAATGCTCGCATCACAAAGCAGCTTCTCAGATAGATTACTTCTAGTTTCTATTTAGGGATATTTGCTTTTKCACCATTGGTACCAAAGAGCTCCGAAATGTCCTTTCACAGAATGGACAAAAGCTGTGTTTCCAAACTACTGGATTTAAGGAAAGCTTTAAGTCTGTGAGATGAATGGACACTTCACAAAGCAGTCTCTCAGAAAGTTTCTTTCTAGTTTTTCTCTGAAGACATTTCCTCTTTTACCATAGGCCTCAATGCTCTCCAAAATATCCCTTTGCACATTGTACAAAAACAGGGTTTTAAATTGCTGAATGAAAAAAAATGATTTAACTGTGTGAGATGAATGAGCATATCACAGAGCAGTTTCTCAGACACCTTCCTTCTAGTTTTTGTCGTTGGATATTCCGATTTTCACAGTTGGCCTCAAAGCGCTTTAAATGTCCATTCACTGAGTTGACACACACCGTGTTTCAAAACTGCTGAATCCAAAGAAAGGTTTAACTCTGTGAGACGAATGCACACCTCACAAAGCAGTTTCTCAGAAGGCTTCTTTCTAATTTTTATCTGAAGATGTTTCCTATTTCACCGCACGCCTCAAGGATCTCCAAAACATAGCTTTGCAGATGTTACAAAAACACTGTTTCCAAACACCTGACTGAAAAGAAAGGTTTAAGCCTGTGAAATGAATGCTCTCATCACAAAGCAGTTTCTCAGATACCTGCCTTCTAGTTTTAATACTGGAATATTCCCTTTTTACCATAGGCCTCAAAGAGTTCCCAAATGTCTATTTGCCAAATGGAGAAAAACAGATTTTTCCAAACTACTGAATCCAAACGAAGCTTTAACTCTGTGAGATGAATTCGCACATCACAAAGCAGTTTCTCAGAAAGTTTCTTTCTCGTTTTTWTCTGAAGATGATTTCTACTTCACCATAGGCCACAATACTCTCCAAAATAACCCTTTGTAGATTCTACAAAACAAGTGATTTCTAACTGCTGAATGAAAAGGAAGTTTTAACTTTGTGAAATGAATGCTCACATTGCAAAGTCATTTCTCACATAGCTGTCTTCTAGTTTTAATCCTGGGATGTCCCCTTTTTTGCCATTGGCCTCAAAGAGCTCCCAAATGTCCATTCACAGAATGGACAAAAACATATTTTCCAAACTGCTGAACCCAAAGAAAGCTGTAAGTCTGTGAGATGAATGCACACATCACAAAGCAGTTTCTCAGAAAGCTTTTTTCTAGTTTTAAACTAAAGATGTTTCCTTTTTCACCGTAGTACTCAATGCTCTCCAAAATATCCCATTGCATGTTCTGTAAAAACAATGCTTTCAAACAGATGAATTAAAAGAATGGTGTAACTGTGTGAAATGAATGCTCACATCACAAAGCAGTTTCTGAGAGAGATTCCTTCTAGTTTTTATTCAGGGATATTCCATTTCTCGCCTTTGGCCCCAAAGAGCTCCAACACGTCCATTTGCAGAATGGACAAAAATCTGTTTCCAAACTACTAAATAAAAAGAAAGCTTTAAGTATGTGAGATCAATGAATGCATCACAAAGCAGTTCCTCAGAAAGCTTTTTCTAGTTTGTAATGGAAGATATTTGCTTGTTCAACATAGGCTCCAATGCTCTCTGAAATATTGCTTTGCTGATTCCATAGAAACACTGCTTCCAAACAGCTGAATGAAAAGAATGGTTTAACTTTACGAAATGAATGCTCACATCAAAAAGCAGTTTCTCAAATAGATTTCTTCTAGTTTTTATTCAGGGATATTCACTTTTTTGCTATTGGTCCCAAAGAGGTCTGAAATGTCCATTCTCAGAACAGACAAAAACTGTGTTTCCAAACTACTAAATCAAAAGAAAGCTTTAAGACTGTGAGATGAATGCACACATCATGAAGCAGTTTCTCAGAAAGCTTCTTTCTCCTTTTTATCTGAAGATGATTCCTATTTCACCATAGGCCTCAATACTCTATGAAATAACCCTTTGCAGATTCTACAAAAACAGGGATTTCTAACTGCTGAATGAAAAGACAAGCTGAAATCTGTGAAATGCATGCCCATGTCACAAAGCCATTTCTTAGATAGCTGTCTTCTTATTTTAATCCTGGGATATTCCCTTTTTTGCCACTGACCTCAATGAGCTCCGAAATGTCAATTCACAGAATGGACAAAAACAGATTTTCCAAAATGCTGAATCCAAAGAAAAGTTTAACACTGTGAGATGAATGAACACATCTCAAGGCAGATTCTCAAAAAGCTTCTTTCCAGTTTTTAACAGAAGTTGTTTTCTTTTTCACAATAGGCTTCAATGCTCTCTGAAATATCACTTTGGAGATTCTACAAAAAAACTGCTTCCTAACAGCTGAATGAAAATAATGGTTTAAATCTATGAAATGAATGTTCACATGACACAATGGTTTCTGTGATTGATTCCTTCTAGTTTTTATTCAGGGATATTCACTTTTTCACCATTGGCCCCAAAGAGCTATGAAATGTCCATTCACAGAATGAACAAAACCTGTGTTTCCACACTACTGAATTCAAAGAAAGCGTTAAACCTGTGAGATGAAGACACACATAAAGCAGTTTCTCAGAATGCTTCTTTGTCATTTTTATCTGAAAACATTTTCTATTTCACCATAGGCCACAAAACTCTCCAAAATAACTCTCTGCAGATTCTACAAAAACAGTGATTTCTAACTGCTGAATGAAAAGAAAGGTTTAACTCTGTGAAATACAAGCTAACATCACAAAGAGCTTCCTCAGATAGCTGCCTTCTAGATGTAATCCTGGGATATCCCCTTTTATGTCACTGGCCTCAAAGAGCTCCCAAATRTCCACATGCAGAATGGACAAAAACAGATTTTCCAAAGTGCTGCATACAAGGAAACGTTTACTCTATGAGATGAAAGGACACATCACAAGACAGATTCTCAGAAAGCTTCTTTCCAGTTTTTAACAGAAGATATTTCCTTTTCACCATAGGCCTCAATGCTCTCCAAAATAGCCCTTTGAGTATTCTACAAAAACACTGCTTCCAAACAGCTGAATGAAAAGAATGGTTTAACTCTGTGAAATGAATGCTCACATGACACAGCAGTTTCTCAGATAGATTCCATCTAGTTTTTATTCAGGGATATTCACTTTTTGGCCATTAGCCCAAAAGAGCTCTGAAATATCCATTCGCAGAAAGGACAAAAACTCTCCTTCCAAACTGTTGAATCCAAAGGAAGCTTTAACTCTGTGAGATGAATGCACACAACACAAAGCAGTTTCTCAGAAAGCTTCTTTCTCGTTTTTATCTGAAGATGTTTAATATTTCACCATAGGCCAGAAAACTCTCCAAAATGACCCTTTTCAGATCCTACAAAACCAGTGATTTGTAACTGCTGAATGAAAAGAAAGGTATAAATCTCTGAAATGAATGTTCACGTCAAAAAGTTGAATCTCACATACCTATCTTCTAGTTTTGATCCTGAGATATCCCCTTTTTTGCACCATCCTCAATGAGTTCCTGAATGTCCATTCGCAGAATGGACAAAAACAGATTTTCCAAACTGCTGAATAAAAGGAAAGGCTTAACTCTGTAAGACGAATGGTCATATCACATGGCAGATTCTCAGAAAGCTTCTTTCTAGTTTTTAACTGAAGATGTTTGCTTTTTCACTGTAGGCCTCAATGCTCTCTGAAATATCCCTTTGCAGATTCTGTAAAAGTACTGCTTCCAAACAGACGAATGAAAAGAATGGTTTAACACTGTGAAATGAATGCTTACATCACAAAGCAATTTCTCATATAGATTCCTCCTAGTTTTTATTCAGGTATATTCATTTTTTGGCCTTTGGCCCCAAAGAGCTCTGAAATGTCCATTCACAGAATGGACACAAACTCTGCTTCCAAACTACTAAATGCAAAAAAAGCTTGAAGTGTCTGAGATGAATGCACACATCACCAAGCAGTTTCTCAGAGAGCTTCTTTCTCATTTTTATCTGAAGATGTTTCCTATTTCACCATAAGCCACAATACTCTCTGACACAACCCTTTGCAGATTGTACAAAACCAGTGATTTCTAACTGCTGAATGAAAAGAAAGGTTTAACTCTGTGAAATGAATGCTCACATCACAAAGCCGTTTCTCACATACCTGTCTTCTAGTTTTAATCCTGAGATATACCCTTTTTTGGAACTGGCCTCAAAGAGCTCCCAAATGTCCATTCGCAGAATGGACAAAAACAGATTTTCCAAACTACTGAATCCAAAGGAAGCTTTAACTCTGTGAGATGAATGCACACATCACAAAGCAGTTTCTCAGAAAGCTTCTTTCTAGTTTTAAACTGAAGATGTTCCTTTTTCACCATAGGCCTAAATGATCTCCAAAATATCCCTTTGCAGATTCTGTAAAAATACTGCTTAGAAACAGCAGAATGAAAAGAATGGTTTAGTTCTGTGAAATGAAGGCTAACATCACAAAGCAGTGTCTCAAATAGATTCCTCCTAGTTTTTATTCAGGGATATTTGCTTTTTGGCCATTGGCCCCAAAGAGCTCTGAAATGTCCATTTGCAGAACGGATAAAAACTCTGTTTCCAAACTACTGAATCCCAAAAAAGTTTGAAGTCTGTGAGATGAATGCACACATCACAAAGCAGTTTCTCAGAAAACTTCTTTGTAGTTTTTAACTGAAGATGTTTCCTTTTTCACCACAGGCCACAATGCTCTCTGATATATCACTTTGCAGATTGTGTAAAAATACTGCTTCCAAACAGTTGAATGGAAAGAATGGTTTAACTTTGCAAAATGAATGTTCACATCATAAACTGGTTTCTCAGATTGGTTCCTTCTAGTTTTTATTCAGGGATAATCGYTTTTTCAACATTGGCCCCAAAGAGCTGCAAAATGTCCATTCACAGAATGGATAAAAACTGTGCTTCCAAACTACTGAATCCAAAGAATGCTTGAAGTCTCTTAGTTGAATACACACATCACTAAGCAGTTTCTCAGAAAGCTTCTTTCTCATTTTTATCTGAAGATGTTTCCTATTTCACCATAGGCTTCAATACTCTCCGAAATAAGCCTTTGCAGATTAAAAAAAAAACAGTGATTTCTAACTGCTGAATGAAAAGAAAGGTTAAACTCTGTGAAATGCATGCTTACATCACAAAGTGGTTTCTCAGATAGCTGCCTTCATGCTGAAATCCTTGGATATCCCCTTTTTTGCCACTGGCCTCAATGAGCTCCCAGACATCCATTTGCAGAATAGAYAGAAAGAGATTTTCCAAACTGCTGAAAAAAGGAAAAGTTTAACTCTGTGAGATGGATGGACACATCACAAGACATTCCCAGACAGCTTCTTTCTAGTTTTTAACAGAAGTTTTTTTTCCTTTTCACCACAGGCCTCAATGCTCTCCAAAATAAGCCTTTGCAGATTCCACCAAAACACTGCTTCTAAACAGCTGAATGAAAACAATGGTTTAACTCTCTGAAATGAATGTCCACATGACACAGCTGTTTCTCAGATGGACTTCTTCTAGTTTTCATTCAGGGATATTCTCTTTTTCACCATTGTCCACAAAGAGCTCTGAAATGTCCATTAACAGAATGGACAAAAACTCTGCTTCCAAACTACTGAATCCAAAGGAAGCTTTAAGTCTGTGAGATGAATACCTACATCACAAAGCAGTTTCTCAGAAAGCTTCTTTCTCGTTTTTATCTGAAGTTGTTTCCTATTTCACCATAGGCCCCAATACTCTCGGAAATAAGCCTTTGCAGATTCTACAAAACCAGTGATTTCTAACTGCTGAATGAAAAGAAAGGTTTAACTTTGTGAAATGAATGCTCACATCACAAAGCCAATTCTCACATTCCTGTCTTTTATTTTTCACCCTGAGATATCTCCTTTATTGYCACTGGCCTCAATGAGCTCCCAAACGTCCATTCACAGAAAGGTGAAAAACAGATTTTCCAACCTGCTGAATCCAAAGAAAGCTTTACCCTTGTGAAATGAATGCACACATCACAGAGCAGTTTCTCAGAAAGCTTCTTTCTAGTTTTTAACTGAAGATGTTTCCTTTTTCTACATCAGCCTCAGTGCTCTCTGAAATATCCCTTTGCAGATACTTTAAAAACGCTGCTTCCTGGATTAAGAAAATGTGGCACATATACACCATGGAATACTATGCAGCCATAAAAAATGATGAGTTCATGTCCTTTGTAGGGACATGGATGAAA
>NC_000010.11:39230136-39238955 GCF_000001405.40 Homo sapiens | reverse complement strand
GAGCCATAAAAATGATGAGTTCATGTCCTTTGTAGGGACATGGATGAAATTGGAAATCATCATTCTCAGTAAACTATCGCAAGAACAAAAAACCAAACAGTGTATATTCTCACTCATAGGTGGGAATTGAACAATGAGATCACATGGACACAGGAAGGGGAATATCACACTCTGGGGACCGTTGTGGGGTGGGGGTAGGGGGGAGGGATAGCATTGGGAGATATACCTAATGTTAGATGACGAGTTAGTGGGTGCAGCGCACCAGCATGGCACATGTATACATATGTAACTAACCTGCACAATGTGCACATGTACCCTAAAACTTAAAGTATAATAAAAAAATACAAAAAAAAAATAAAGCTGAAAGGGATGATATGTTAAAAAAAAAAAAAAACAAAAACAAAAACAAAAAAACAAAAAACGCTGCTTCCAAACAGCTGAATGAAAAGAATGGTTTGACACTGTGAAATGAATGCTCAATCACAAAGCAGTTTCTCAGATAGGTTCCTTCTAGTTTTTATTCAGGGATATTCCCTTTTTGGCATTTGACCACAAAGAGCTCCGAAATGTCCATTCGCAGAATGGACAAAAACTCTTCCTCCAAAATACTGAATCCAAAGGAAGCTTTAACTCTGTGAGATGAATGCCCAAGTCACAAAACACTTTCTCAGAAAGCTTATTTCTCGTTTTTATCTGAAGATATTTCTTACTTCACCATAGGTCACAATACTCTCTGAAATAACCCTTTGCAGATTCTACAAAATCATTGATTTCTAACTGCTGAATGAAAAGAAAGGTTTAACTCTGTGAAATGCATGCACATATCACAAAGCTGATTCTTACATACATTTTACTTTTAATCCTGAGGTATCCCCTTTTCTGCCACCAGCCTCAATGAGCTCCCAAAAATGTCCATTCACAGAACGGTAAAACTCATATTTTCCAAACTGCTGAACACAAGGAAAATTTTACCTCTGTGAGATGAATGGACACATCACAAGGCAGATTCTCAGAAAGCTTCTTTCCAGTTTTTATTAGAAGACGATTCCTTTTCACCATATGCCTCAATGCTATCTGAAGTATCACTCTGCAGATTCTACAAAAACACCGCTTCTAAAGAGATGAATGAAAATAATGGTTTACCTCTGTGAAATGAACACTTACATGACACAGCAGTTTTTCAGATAGATTCCTTCTAGTTTTTATTCAGGGACATTCACTTTTTTGCCATTGGCCCCAAAGAGCTCCAATATGTCCATTCACAGAATGATAAAAACTCTGCTTCCAATCTACTGAATCCAAAGAAAGCTTTGCCTTTGTGAGATGAATGCACACGTCACAAAGCAGTTTCCCAGAAAGCTTCTTTCTAGTTTTTAACTGAAGATGTTTCCTTTTTCACCATTGACCTCAATGCTCACTGAAATATCCCTTTGCAGATTCTGTAAAAACACTGCTTCCAAACAGCTGAAAGAAAAGAATGGGTTAATTCTGTGAAGTGAATGCTCACATCACAAAGCTGTTTCTCAGATAGATTCCTTATAGTTTTTATTCAGGGATATTCACTTTTTGGCATTTGGCCCCAAGGAGCTCTGAAATGTCTATCTGCAGAATGGACAAAAACTCTGCCTCCAAACTACTGAATCCAAAGGACGCTTTAACTCTGTGAGATGAATGCCCACATCACAAAGCACTTTCTCAGAAAGCTTCTTTCTCGTTTTTATCTGAAGATATTTCCTATTTCACCATAGGCCACAATACTCTCTGAGAAAACCTTTTGCAGATTCTACAAAACCAGTAATTTCTAACTGCTGAATGAAAAGAAAGGTTTAACTATATGAAATGCATGCTCACATCGCAAAGCTGATTCTCACATACCTGTCTTTTAGTTTTAATCCTGAGATATTCCCTTTTTTGCCACTGGCCTCAATGAGCTCCCAAATGTCCATACACAGAATGTTAAAAAACAGATTTTCCAAGCTGCTGAATACAAGGAAAGGTTTAACTCTGTGAGATGAATGGACACATCACAAAGCAGATTCTCATGAAGCTTCTCTCCAGTTTTTATTAGAAGATGTTTCCTTTTCATCATAAGCCTCAATGTTCTCTGACATATCACTTTGCAGATTCTACAAAAACACTGCTTCTAAAGAGGTGAATGAAAAGAATATTTTAATTCTGTGAAATGCATGATCACATCTCAAAGCTGTTTCTCAGATAGCTGCCTTCTAGCTGTAATCCTGGGATATCCCCTTTTTTTCCATTTGCGTCAATGAGCTCCCAAATGTCCATTCATAGAATGGAGAAAAAGAGATTTTCTAAACTGCCGAATACAAGAAAGTTTTAACTCTGTGAGATGAATGGACACATGACAAGGCAGATTCTCAGAAAGCTTCTTTCCATCTTTTAACAGAAGTTTGTTTCCTTCCCACCATAGTACTCAAAGCTCTCAGAAATATCCCTTTGCAGATTTTGTAAAGACACTGCTTCCAAACAGCTGAATGAAAAGAATGGTTTAATACTGTGAAGTGAATGCTCCCATCACAAAGCAGTTTCTCAGATAGATTCCTTCTAGTTTTTAATCAGGGATGTTCGATTTTTGGCCTTTGGCCAGAAACAGCACCGAAATGTCCATTCACAAAATGGACAAACACTCCGCTTCCAAACTACTGAATCCAAAAAATGCTTGAAGTCTGTGAGGTGAATGCACACAACACAAAGCTGTTTCTCAGAAAGCTTCTTTCTCATTTTTAGCTGAAGATGTTGCTTTTTCACCACAGGCCTCAATGCTCTCCCAAATATCCCTTTGCAGATTCTGTAAAAACACGACTTCTGAACAGCTGAATGAAAAGAATGGTTTAACACTGTAAAATGAATGCTCCCATCACAAAGTGGTTTCTCAGATAGATTCCTTCTAGTTTTTATTCAGGGATATTCAATTTTTGGCCTTTGGCCCGAAACAGCACCAAAATGTCCATTCACAAAATGGACAAACACTCTTTTTCCTAACTACTGAATCCAAAAAAAGCTTGAAGTCTGTGAGATGAATGCACAAAACACAAAGCTATTTCTCAAAAAGCTTCTTTCTCGTTTTTAACTGAAGATGATGCTTTTTCACCCCAGGCCTTAATGTTCTCCCAAATATCCCTTTACAGATTCTGTAAAAACACTGCTTCCAAACAGCTGAGTGAAAAGAGTGGTTTAACTTTGTGAAATAAATTCTCACATCACAAAGTGGTTTCTCAGATCTGTTCCTTCTAGTTTTTATTCATGGATATTCACTTTTTTGCCATTGCCACCAAAGAGCTACAAAACTTCAATTCACAGGAAGGACAAAAACTGTGTTTCCAAACTACTGAATCCAAAGGAAGCTTGAATTCTGTGAGATGAATGTGCACATCACAAAGCAGTTTCTCAGAAAGCGTCTATCTCGTTTTTATCTGACGATGTTTCCTATTTCACCATAGGCCTCAATAATCTACAAAATAAGACTTTGCAGATTCCACAAAAAAAGTGATTTCCAACAGCTGAGTGAAAAGAAATGTTTAACTCTGGGAAATGTATGCTCACATCACAATGCAATTTCTCAGATATCTGCATTCTAGCTGTAATCCTGGGATATCCCCTTTTTTGCCACTGGCCTCAATGAGCTCCCAAACGTCCATTCTGTGAATGGACAAAAACAGATTTTCCAAACTGCTGAATACAAGGAAAGGTTTAACTCTGTGAGATGAATGGACACATCACTAGTCAGATTCTCAGAAAGCTTCTCTCCAGTTTTTAACAGAATAAGCTTCCATTTCACCATAGGCCTCAATGCTCTCTGAAATATACTTTTGCCGATACTACAAAAACACTGCTTCCAAACAGCTGAATGAAAAGAATGGTTTATCACTGTGAAATGAATGCTCACATGGCACAGCAGTTTCTCACATAGATTCCTTCTTGTTTTTTTTCAGGGATATTCCCATTTTTGCCATTGGCCCCAAAGAGCTCTGAAACATCCATTCCCAGAATGGACAAAAACTCTATTCCCAAACTACTGAATCCAAAGGAACTTTAACTGTGAGATGAATGCACACATCACAAAGCAGTTTCTCAGAAAACTTCTTTATCCTTTTTATCTGAAGGTGTTTCCTATTTCACCATAGGCTACAATACTCTCCGAAATAACCCTTTGCAGATCTTGTAAAACCAGTGATTTCTAACTGCTGAATGAAAAGAAAGGTTTAACTCTGAGAAATGAATGCTCACATTGCAAAACCGATTCTCACATCATCACATCTAGTTTTAATTCTGAGATATCCCCTTTTCTGCTCCTGGCCTCAATGAGTTCCCAAATGTCCATTCGCAGAATGGACAAATCAGATTTTCCAAACTGCTAAATACAAGGAAAGGTTTAATGCTATGAGATGAATGGACGCATCTCAAGACAGATTCTCAGAAAGCTTTTTTCCAGTTTTTAGTAGAAGATGTTTCCCTTTCACCGTATTCCTCAATGCTCTCTGAAATGTCCCTTTGCAGATTCTACAAAAACACTGCTTCTAAAGAGCTGAATGAAAAGAATGGTTTAACTCTTTGAAATGAATGTTCACATGACACAGCGGTTTCTCAGATAGATTCCTTCTAGTTTTTATTCAAGGATATTCTCTTTTTCGCCATTGGCCCCAAAGAGCTCCCAACTGTCCATTCCCAGAATGGACAAAAACTCCATTTCCAAACTACTGAATAAAAAAGTAGCTTTAACTTTGTGAGATGAATGAACACATCACAGAGCAGTTTCTCAGAAAGCTTCTTTGTCATTTTTATCTGAAGATGTTTCCTATTTCACCGTAGCCCTCGGTACTCTCTGAAATAAGCCTTTGCAGATTCTATAAAAACATTGATTTCTAACTGCTGAGTGAAAAGAAAGATTTAACTCTGTGAAATGCATGCTAACATCACAAAGCAGTTTCTCAGATAGCTGCCTTCTATCTGTAATCCTGGGTTATCCCCTTTTTGCCACTGGCCTCAATGAGCTCCCAGATGTCCATTTGCAGAATGCACAAAAACAGATTTTCCAAACTGTTGAATACAAGGAAAGGTTTAACTCTGTGAGATGAATGGACACATCACAAGGCAGATTCTCAGAAATCTTCCTTCCAGTTTTTAACAGAAGAAGATTCTTTTTCACCATAGACCTCAATGCTCTCCAAATTATCCCTTTGTAGTTTCTACAAAAAGACTGCTTCCAAACAGCTGAATGAAAAGAATGATATAACTCTGTGAAATGAATGCTCACATCACACAGCTGTTTCTCAGATAGATCCCATCTAGTTTTTATTCAAGGATCTTCTCTTTTTTGCCATTGGCCACAAAGAGCTCTGAATTATCCATTCAAAAAATGGACAAAAACTCTGTTTCCAAACTACTGATGCCAAAGAAAGCTTTAACCCTGCGAGTTGAATACCCACATCACAAAGCAGTTTCACAGAAAGTTTCTTTCTCATTTTTATCAGAAGATGTTTCCTATTTCACCATACACAAAAATACTCTCCGAAACAACCCTTTGCGCATTCTACAAAACCAGTGTTTTCTAACTGCTGAATGAAAAGGAAGGTTTAACTCTGTGAAATGAATGCTCACATCACAAAGCCGTTTCTCACATTCCTGCTTCTAATTTTAATTCTGAGATATACCCTTTTTTGCCACTGGTCTCAAAGAACTCCAAAATGTCCATTAGCAGAATGGACAAAAACAGATTTTCCAAACAGCTGAATCCAAAGAAAGCTTTACATCTGGGAGATGAATGAAGACACCACAAAGCAGTTTCTTGGGAAGCTTCTTTCTAGTTTTCAACTGAAGATATTTCCTTTTTCACCATAGACCACAATGCTCTCTGAAATATCCCTTTACAGATACTGTAAAAACACTCCTTCCAAACAGCTGAATGGAAAGAATGGTTTAACTCTGTGAAATGAATGCTCACTTCACAAAACAGTTTCTCAGATAGATTCCTTCCAGTTTTTATTCAGGGAAATTTGCTTTTTGGCCTTTGGCCAGAAAGAGCTCCAAAACGTCCATTCGCAGAAAGGACAAAAACACTGCTTCCAAACTACTGAATCCAAAAAAAGCTTGAAGTCTGTGAGATGAATGGACACATCAAAAGGCAGTTTCTCAGAAAGCTTCTTTCTCGTTTTTAACGGAAAATGTTTCCTTTTTCACCACAGGACTCAATGCTCTACTAAATATCACTTTGCAGGTATTGTAAAAGTGCTGCTTCCAAAGAGCTGAATGAAAAGAATGGTTTAACTTTGTGAAATGAATGCTCACATCACAAAGCAGTTTCTCAGATCTGTTCCTTCTGGTTTTTATTCAGGGGTATTTGCTTTTTCACTATTAGCCCCAAAGAGCTCTGAAACGTCCATTCGCAGAATGGAAAAAACCGTGTTTCCAAACTACTGAATTCAAAGAAAGCTTGAAGTCTGTGAGATGAAAGCACACATCACAAAGCAGTTTGTCAGAAAGCTTCTTTCACATTTTCATGTGAAGTTGTTTCCTATTTCACCATAGGCATCAATAATCTCCGATGTAAGCCATTGCAGATTCTACAAAGGCACTGATTTCTAACTGCTGAATGAAAAGAAAGGTTTAACTCTGTGAAATATATGCTCACATTGTAAAGTGGTTTCTCAGATACCTGCCTTCTGGCTGTAATCCTGTGACATCCCTTTTTTTGCCACTGGCCTCAATGAGCTCCCAAATGTCCATTTTCAGAAAGGACAAAAACAGATTTTCCAAACTGCTGAATACAAGGAAAGTTTTAACTCTGTGAGATTAAGGGTCACATCACAAAGGAGATTCTCAGAAAGGTTTTTTCCAGTTTTTAAAAGAAGATGATTCCTTTTCACCATTGGCCTCAATGCTCTCCAAAATATCCCTTTGCAGATTATGTAAAAACACTGCTTCTAAAGAGCTGAATGAAAATGTTGGTTTGACTCTGTGAATTGACACAACAGTTTCTCAGATAGACTCCTTCTATTTTCTATTCGGGATATTTTATTTTTCGCCATTGGCCCCAAAGAGCTCCGAAATGTCCATTTTCAGGATGGACAAAAACTCTTTTTCCAAACTACTGAATCCAAAGAAAGCTTGAATACTCTGAGATGAATGCATGCATCACAAAGCTGTTTCTCAGAAAGCTTCTTTCTCGTTTTAATCTGAAGATGTTTCCTATTTCAACATAGGCCTCAATACTCTCTGAAATAAGCCTTTGCAGATTCTACGAAAACGTGATTTCTAACTGCTGAATGAAAAGTAAGGTTTAAATCTGTGACACGCATGCTCACATCACAACGCGGTTTCTGTGATAGCTGCCTTCTAGCTGTAATCCTGGGATATCCCCTTTTTTGTCACTGGCCTCAATCAGCTCCCAAATGTCCATTCACAGAATGGAAAAAAAACAGATTTTCCAAACTGCTGAATACAAGGAGAGTTTTAACTCTGTGTGATGAAAGGACACATCACAAGGCAGATTCTCAGAAACCTTCTTTCCAGTTTTTAACAGTTGTTTTCTTTTCACCATTGACCTCAATGCTCTCTGAAATATCTGTTTGCAGATTCTACAAAAGCATTGCTTCATAGCAGCTGAATGAAAAGAATGCTTAAACTCTGAAATGAATTCCCACATGACACAGCAATTTCTCAGATAGATTCCTTCTAGTTGATTTTCAGGGATATTTTCTCTTTAGCCATTGGCCACAAAGAGCTCCGAAAGATCCATTCCCAGAAAGAACAAAAACTCTGTTTCCAAACTAGTGAATCTAAAGAAAGCTTTAACTCTGTGAGATGAATGCACACCTCTCAAAGCAATTTCTCAGAAAGCTTCTTTATCACTATTTCCTGAAGGTGTTCCCTGTTTCACCATAGACCACAATACTCTTGGAAATAAGCCTTTGCAGATTCTACAAAACCAGTGATTTCTAACTGTTGAATGAAACGAAAAGTTTAAATCTGTGAAGTACATGGTCACATCACAAAGCAGTTTCTCATATAGCTGCCTTCTAGTTTTAAACCTGGGCTATCCTTTTTTCTGCCATTGGCCTCAATGAGTTCCTGAATGTCCATTCACAGAATGGACAAAAACAAATTTTCCAAAGTTCTGAATCCAAAGAAATATTTAACTCTGTGAGATGAATGGATACATCACAAGGCAGATTCTCAGAGAGCTTCTTTCTAGTTTTTAACTGAAGATGTTTGTTTTTCACCATAACCCTCAGTACTCTCTGAAATATCCCTTTGCAGATTCTGTAAAAACACTGCTTCGAAACAGCTGAATGAAAAGAATTGTGGGACTCTGTGAAATGAATGCTCACATGACCCAGTGGTTTCTCAGATAGATTCCTTCTAGTTTTTATTCAGGGATATTTGCTTTTTCGCCACTGGCCCCAAAAAGCTCTGAAATGTCCATTTGCAGAATGGAAAAAAACTGTGCTTCCAAACTACTGAATCCAAAGAATGCTTTAACACTGTGGGAGGAATGCAAACATCACAAAGCAATTTCTCAGAAAGCTTCTTTCTAGTTTTCCTCTGAAAATATTTCCTTTTTTACCACAGGCCTCAATGCTCTCTGAAATATCCCTTTGCAGGTTCTACAAAAACACTGCTTCCAGCTTGCTGAATGAAAAGAATGATTTAACTATGTGAGATGAATGAACATATCACAAAGCAGTTCCTCAGATATGTTCCTTCTAGTTTTTAATCTTGGGATATTCTTATTTCACAGTGGGTCTCAAAGTGCCCCCAAATGTCCATTTGCTGAGTTGACAAACACTGTGTTTCAA
>NC_000010.11:38911580-38913438 GCF_000001405.40 Homo sapiens | reverse complement strand
TCCATTCCATTCCATCCCATTCCATTCCACTCCATTCCACTCCACTCCCCTATACTCCACTCCACAGCAGTCCATTCCACTCCATTGCATTCCATTCCATTACAATCCATACCATTCCGTTCCACTAAACTCCAGTCAATTCCACTCCACTCCACTCCACTGCACTCCATTCCATTTCATTCCATTCTAAATCCATTCCAATATATTCCATTCTAAATCTATTCCATTATATTCCATTCTAAATCCATTCCATTCACTTCCTTTCTTTCAACAGGATCTCACTGTCTCACCCTTGCTTTAGTGCAGTGCGCAATCTCAGCTCACGTTTCAATTCACCATTCCATTCGATTATGTTCCATTGCATTTCATTGCACTCCACTCCACTACCCTCCATTCAATTCCTTTCCTTCCCATTCCATTCCACTCCACTCCATTCTACTCCACTCCACTTCATTCAATTCCATTCCTTCCCATTCCATTCCACTCCACTCCATTCTACTCCACTCCACGCCATTCATTTCCATTCTATCCCTCTTCATTCCACTCCATTCCACTCCACTCCACTCCATTTCACCTCATTCCATTCGATTCCATTAAATTCCTTTCCATTCCATTTCATTTGAATTCATTCATTTCCGTTCGATTCCAATCCATTCGATTCCATTCCATTCCCTTCAATTCCATTCCATTGCATTCCATTCCATTCCACTCCATTCCATTTCGTTCTATTCCATTCCACTCCACTACACTATACTCCATTCCACTCCACTCCATTCCACAGCACTACCATCCATTCCACTCAAATCCACTCCACTCCACTCCTCTCCTTTCCATTCCATTCCATTCTACACCTTTCCACTCGACTCCACTCCACTCCACTCCACTCCATTCTACTCCATTCCACACCACTCCACACCACTCCATTCCACTCCATTTCACTGCACTCCAATCCACTCTACTCAACTGCCCTCCACTCCACTCCTCTCCATTCCATTCCATTTCTTTCTGCATCTTTCCACTCCACTCCACTCTACTCTGTTCCATTCCATCCCATTTGATTCCACTCGATTCCACTCCACTTCATGCCACTCCACTCCACTCCATTCCATTCCATTGCATAACTATCCAAACCACTCCATTCCACTCCACACCAATCCACTCCACGCCACTCCACTCCACTCCATTCCATTACATTACATTCTAAATCCATTCTATTCCATTCCTTTCTTTTGACACGATCTCACTGTGTCACCCAGGTTGGAGTGCGGTGCACAATCTGAGCTCACATTTCATTTCACCATTCCATTCCATTCCATTCCATTCCATTGCATTCCATTCCACTCCACTTCACTCCACTCCGTTCAATTCCATTCCTTCCCAGTCCATTCCACTCTACTCCATTCCACTCCACTGCACTCTACTTCGTTCAATTCCATTCCACCCCATTCCTTTTGACTCCATTCCACTCCAGTCCACTTCACCACATTTGATTCGAATCCATTCAATGCCATTCGATTCCATTCCATTCTATTCCATTCCATTCATTTCGATTCCATTCCATTCGATTCCATTCCATTCCATTCCATTGAATTCTGTTCCATTCGATTCCATTCCATTCCATTCCATTCCATTCCACTCCACTCCATTCCATCCCACTCCACTTCAATTCACTCCACTCCACTCCACTCCTCTCTGCTCCATTCCACTCCACTCCACTCCTCTCCATTCCACTCCACTCCACTTCATTCCACTCCATTCCATTCCACTGCACTCAACTCCCCTCCATTCCACTACACTCCACTGTATTCCATTCCATTCCATTCTACACCTTTCCACTCCACTCCTCTCCATTCCATTC